>NC_000010.11:10919090-11070606 GCF_000001405.40 Homo sapiens
AAAAACCTGTCTCTACTAAAAATACAAAAGTTAGCTGCACGTGGTGGCACACAACTGTAATCCCAGCTACTCAGGAGGCTGAGGCACGAGAATCGCTGGAACCCAGGAGGCAGAGTTTGCAGTGAGCTGAGATCACGCCAGTGTACTCTAGCCTGGGCAAAAGAGAGATACTCTGTCTGAAAAAAAAAAAGAAAGAAAGAAAACGAAAGACAAGAGACGGCAATTGGGACAAAGTTAGTTTTGAAATTTGTCTCTGGTCATTTTTATTAATATGCAAAAGCCTTTCTTTAGTGACTTTTCTTTTGTGCCATTTGAATTATCATAGTATCTACCTTCAACAGTCCTAAATGGTAGAACTTTATAACAAAGAAATGAAAAACAGCAGTTTGCTACTAAAAGAATTCCATTTTGTGCTGTTTGTGTTCCTTCATAAGCTTCGGGTGACAGAGGTCAACATGAAGCAACATCCCCAAAGGAATACATTTCTCAGAGATTCTTGGAGAAAGATCATTGGTGCTTCGTTTAACATGTAAATGTCTACAAGGTGGTTTGGGATTTGTTTCTCTTTCTATTATCCTTCTGGATGTTGTACATTTTTACATTTTAATGTTTTGAACTTCATTGTATTCAACCACCAGAAAGTAGAGGCAGATATTTTGCATGTGTATAAAATTTCCGTTGAAAGTAACCATTGGAATGATCAATGGGAATTAATCAGAAATGCAATTAATCAATTTTAACTTTCTAACCACCTGCATGTACGGTATCTTCTTTATACCTGATACCATAATACTTATTATGTGATTAAATACATTTTCATAATTCACCAAAATAAACTTAATCATACTTATCTTCTTTTTCTCCTTCCTGCAGAGAGACGGCCACAGAGTTAGCTGGGAGTCTACCAAGGTGAGCACGCTGGCTTTGCTTATTCTATGCCCGATTTCTTATATCCACAAAGAGAAGTACTGTGCCATGTCTTCTGTAAGAGGTCTTCTCATTTTGTCTTCCTCATGTCAGATTTTGATACCTCATACATCACCATGTAAATGCCAAAAATTATGCATGCGTCACATATACATGATGTAACCAGGAAGTAATGAGGCTCATGTTCATAAATGACTTAGATTATTCACATTCCTTTGAAGTCATATGGTATATTTGGAGATGTATATATGAGCTAGATATGCCATAGAAATCATAAACATGCTGCTTCCTTTATTATGTTCACGGGAATTGGCAATCGAAAAACATATTGGATTGGTTTTTTCTTCAATGTATTCAGTATTCTTACTGTGTTCAGGGACTTAGAGATTTATGAAAGAATCCTGAGCTTCCCCTGAAGAGCTCACATCATAGTATTGATAGTATAAGTGCAGTGGAATTCTCACTGTCATCAAAATAAATACTTAGTAATATTATATCATAGAAAGAAATTAATATGTAATTGATCATTGTGCTTTATATGTAATTTATCAATGTGTTTTATATGTTTTTGATATTTATGTCAGTATATTAAATAAGACATGATTAACAGAATGCAAGCTCTAAATAACTAGCCATCAAGGATGATTACCAGCATTTAATGGAAGGGAGGGAGAAATGGAGAAAAGAAGGAAGGAAGGAGGAAGGGAGGAAAGGAGAAGAGATGGGGGTAAGACTGGGGAGGCAAGAAGAAAGGAAGGAAGAAGGAAGAGAGGAAGGGAGGGAGAGGGGATGGGGGAGGGAAGACTGGGGAGGGAGGAAGAAACTTAGGAAGGGAGGGAGGAAGGGGCAATAATTTAAGAGGTATTTTGCTGGGCATTGAATGTATCTAGAATCTCTCCTGAGCACCAAGGATTGTGCCTTTGTTTTGTTGTTGTTGTTGTTGTTGTTATTTTTTGAGACAGAATCTCACGCTTTCACCCAGGCTGGAGTGCAGTGGTGCAGTCTCAACTCACTGCAACTTCCACCTCCCAGGTTCAAGCGATTCTCCTGCCTCAGCCTTCTGGGTAGCTGGGATTACAGGAGACTGCCACCATGCCCGGCTAATTTTTGTATTTTTCGTAGAGACAGAGTTTTGCCATGTTGGCCAGGCTGGTCTCAAATTCCTGACCTCAGGTGATCCACCCGTCTCGGCCTCCCAAAATGCTGGGATTACAGGCATGAACCACTGTGCCCGGCCAGGTGTTTGTTTTTTGTTTGTTTTTGTTTGTTTTAGCTGGAGTCTCCTTCTGTCGCCCAGGCTGGAGTGCAGTGGCACGATCTCGGCTCACTGCAACCTCCGCCCCTGGGTTCAAGCGATTCTCCTGCCTCAGCCTCCTGAGTAGCTGGGATTACAGGCGTGCACCACTACGCCCAGCTAACTTTTGTATTTTTAGTAGAGATGGGGTTTCACCATGTTGGCCAGCTGGTCTCGAACTCCTGACCTCAGGTGATCCACCTGTCTCGGCCTCCCAAGGTGCTGGGATTACAGGTGTGAGCCACCGTGCCTGGCCATGTCAGATGTTTCCAAAAGAGAGGAGAAATTTACTCATCTAAATGTGCAGAAGACATCAGGAGAGAGGGGAAGAGGACGGAGTCCCTGAGAAGGCAAGAGGGCACGGGATCCAGGGCACAGATGGGATCAGCTTGAGAGGAGAGCCCAGGCTTCTATTTGAACAAGGATGGACGCAGGAAAGGGGTGTGTGGATTCAGAGCAGTGTGTGGGACTGGGGCCTCAGGGAGTCTTAGACATTCTACCTAAGCGTGGATGGGATTACAGGCGTGAGCCCCCGCGCCTGGCTCGTGCCTTAGTTTTTGAAGGTACTCGATAATCATGCGTGAATGTATTCATATGTCCTAGGATATTGCCTAGAAACTGTTGGAAGTAGAAATCAAGAGAATCTCAAGAACAGGAGAAGCAGAGTGAGCCCAATGTTGTCATGAACAGCACTGGAGAACAGGGGAAAGTACAAATTGTTGCCATCTGTTACCGGAGATAAGCACATTTGGTTGCTTTTTTTATGTAAAGAAAATCTTTGCTTATAGGATCAAGATTAATATTGCCAAAAAAAAACTGTTTACTGTGATCCAAATATTTAAATTACTGTAGGTCTTCATTCTTTGGATAACGTCCCAAAGAAACATTTCCATCATGTGCCAGTTTTCAGGGTTAAAACTGTCCGAGTGTTCTGGTTTGTGTCTCCCCGCTAAAATTGTTTGTCTTTGTGCTTTCACTCTGGAAAAAGTCCACCCTGAAGACCTGAGCATCCCATCATGTGTGGGCAGAGAGATTGTTGTGTGTCTACCCACGTTTGGGCTGAGGAAGTCAATCCTGAAATAATGGAACGAGGAATGACTTCCAAACTTTTGTAGAGCAGCTAAGAAGCAGACCACCTCTATGTTGTCAGAAGATACCCACTCCGTGCTGTAATCACACAGATGAAAATGATTCAGATGTCTGAGAAATCACCGTCGGCACCCGGAATTCTATTAAGTAGCGCTGTATTTTGAATACCAAGCAGCAACGCGTATATTCCCCAGGAATGATCTTTTGTAGCTGGTTTATTACTCAAGGGAGAGGCTGCTCTCTTCTTAGGTTTGGTGGGTGGTATTTCGGTAATAAGCCTACTTATTTTTCTTCAGGAATTTTTGTTATTCTCATGTCGAATCATGTTGAAAATAAACAACATGCCGACATTCCCATTCTAACTGCAATTTGCAATCACTGTACTGCCTGGCGATAAAGGAGTGAGAAGTAATATATCAGTGATTTCTCAATCGTACTTCTAATGTAGCTTCAGGTATTCTTTCGACTTCTCCAGGGGCAGTTTGAGACATAGCCATTGACAAATATTTCCCTTCCCCACATTAACATGAAATCATGTAATGATTTGATGATGAATCCTCCCCTTGTGTCCAGCTTATTTCTTTTGCTAGTGTTTGTTTGTTTGTACAGTCTCGTAGAATTCCATCAGTTGTTCCAGCTTTCAGCCTTTTTTCAGATTTCTTCAGCCTGTCACGGGGAAAGTACAAATTAGCCCCGAAATACCTCGGTGCTGTGGAAAACAAGGCACCTGTAGTTATTTTGTTTGTTTGTAGGCTAATGATTAGTGGAACATGACACTTCGAGTTTTTTCTGCACTTAGTCATAAAGGTGCGCTTACGCTGTGACGTCTAGGAAAAATGGAAAAATGCAACTCAGGCAACTGCCAACTAGTGATATGTGGCTGGGAAGGAAGACGGTGGCATTTGAGAACAGTTTTATGGTTTGGTTTTCATTGGCTATGACTGTCTTGAAATGTTCCGAAAGACCATTTACACGGGTTGCATAAGGGTGGAGTATTTCCACCGTAATTACCTTACGTGGTACTAATTTAAAGCACTCCGGCCACTGGTGGATAATATTCTGTGAAAATGTGCGCATGCTGTAGCAGTGGATTGCGTCTGGGTAGTTAAAAATGCTTTGAAGTCGAAATGAGATATGTGCCCAAGGTGCTTGAACAGGCAGGCGCTAAGTTTGTTTTTCATTGCTAATGATAACCTAAATGTGTTTTTGAATTCTTGCCATTGCTGAAATTAAAGCCTGGTAGTAATAAGTCACCAGAAAAAAATTAGATTATATGAGCAACATGCACTAAGCATTGAAATTATATTATAAATATTAAAACCAATGATCTTGTTAGGATTAAAACAAATATTTAAACTGGCTACACGTACTATCCATGCCGATCTCTTTATGTTGAAGTGTCCCGGAAACGGGATGTATGGAACCATTTTTTGAACTATGAAAACAATCATTTTCAATCTTATAAATGACTCCTTGCTTTTATTTTTGCTTGTAGCAAAGGACAATTTAGCAATCTGAGCAGTTGTTTTCCCCGTTACAATCATGTTTTTCAAGATCTGGTTTTTAGGATGAAGGGTGTTGCGTTTCGGTAGATGTGTTTTAAATAAATCATGGTGAAACCCCACTTGTTCAAATGGAATGAGGTTTCAATATAAATGCCTATAAAGAGAGAAAATTTTATTTTGGATAGCAAAGTAAAGATATAAACACTCTCTACTAAAAATACAAAAAATTAGCCGGGCGTGGTGGCGGGCGCCTGTAGTCCCAGCTACTCGGGAGGCTGAGGCAGGAGAATGGCGTGAACCCGGGAGGCGGAGCTTGCAGTGAGCCGAGATCGCGCCACTGCACTCCAGCCTGGGCAACACAGCGAGACTCCGTCCCAAAAAAAAAAAAAAAAAAAAAAAAAAAAAGATATAAACACAGTTTATATCAACAGAGGTTTTACTGTAATCATGCACTATGAGCTGCTGTTTTTGAAAAAAAGGGAGCATTTTAATTCCTTGTTAACAGAGTCCACTGTTTTTCAACATAAACTAAACAGTTTAGAAAATGAAGGGATATAATAGACCTTAACAGAAGTATCTTAAGTACTGCAGTAGAGATTCATATGTTGATTCTTAAACACAGCACCGAAAAGTCAGGATGTTCTTTGAGGACCACGAAGTATTCGTAAATGAAGCTTAAAATAATTCGGTATATAAATCAGATGTCATCTTGTACTGGATTTTAGTATAAACCAGTGAAAGCAGGGGCCAACAGTTAAAGAAGTTACGAAAGAAAAATTTAGACTTTTCTCTTGTATATTAATCCAGTAACTTGATCGCTTTTTTTTTTTTTTTTTTGCCTTCTGTGAGAGGGTTAGGAAACATAATTCAATCTAAGCAATTGGGGAACCCCCAATACCTAGAACACTGGCGTATACCATAGGATTACTGTCTGAGAGCCGCTACCAAGAAGACGGAAATGCCTGGTTTGTGTGACTGTCAGAGACAAAAGCCGTTATATGCCGTTTTGCGTGTGAAATTCTGGTCTTAAGTCATAGATCTTTGTTATCTAAAATTTGAACCGAACAGATTCCATTTAAAGGACGAGAGAGACTTACCTCTCCAGCTGACAATATTTCTCAGTCATGGATGTGACAGATCAGGTAGCAATAGGCAGAAACGGTGGAAGCAAAGATAATTCAGATCATCTCTGAGAGCTCACCTTTCTACATGGAGGGCTTTGATAGGAAACATAACCTCCTATTTCTCACTGTCCTCAGTACGCAATGCCATTTTCTGAAAGACTTTCGAAAATTAAGAGATAAATATGCTGGTACTTCCAGGCCAACCTCTTACTGAGTCATCTAGAGCCGATGGATGGACACTTCCTGTCTTCTTTATAATCCCTAGGAAGCAGCAGCTCCCCCAGCTCTCCTGGGGCCCATGCCTGGTGCTATTCAGTATTGACACAGTTCATCCTCTATCGTTAATTCAACCAGGGTACAGCATGCACTAAGTATATGCCAAGCATGGTTGTCAGCTTGGCATACACTTAGTGCGTGCTGTACCTTGGTTGTGGGAGAAAACAGACGGACACCATCTCTTCTCTGAAGTGGTTCAGTGGCATGAAGAAGGTACCGATCATCCCAGTGCTATGGGAAAGTGTTTAACCCATAAGAGAACTAGGGAAACACTGAAGCAAACACAAAACCCAAGGGATTTCAGCAGCGAGATGGGCTAGTTCTGATCAGAGGCAGTAAGGACATCATCCCGAACCAACCTTCTGAGCAGGACTGGAGCGAGTGGGTCAGAGTGGGTAAGTACAGGCCAGGGGATAGCCCACAGAGTCCCCAGACCTTGCCACCCTCCAAACCGTCTTCTTTCAGATTCACTGCTTGACTCAAAATATGAAACAAACCCTCTGGCCTAAGTGACTGGTTTCCATACCTTTCACAACCCAACTTTCTACTCCCAGCGCCCAACCATCATACAGCACCCAGACTCTGCGATCACAGCTGCAGATGGTGAGGTGTGTTCTCTCTTCCTCCCTGCCCCAGCCCCTACCTCCTCACCTTTTCTAATGCATCTACCACTCATAGCCTGTGACTGAGTTCTTTCCTGCACAAACCTTTCCCTTACAATGTCCTTCTTTATTATTTTTCTCAGGTTGAATCCATTGAAAAGCCTCGGTAGTTACAGCAGGCTAAAAATGCAGGTTGAGTTTGTAGTTATGGTTCAAGAGGTCAGAGAAGGCCCAGGGTGAATTCAGAGCCTCTATGGTCTGAATGTGTCCCCCACAATTCATGTGCTGGAAACCTACTCCTCAATGTGACTCTGGGGAGGTGAGAATGAATGGGAGGTGGTGAGGTCATGAGGGCTCTGATGTCATGAGCGGATCAATGCCACCGTAAAAAGGGCTTGTGGGGGCAGATTCACTCCTTTTCTCGCTCTTCTGCCATGTGAGGACCCAATGTTTGTCTTCTCTTGCTCTTCTGCTGTCTGCCATGTGAGGACACCGTAAGAAGGCTCACACGGATGTTGGTGTTTTGAGCTTGAAATTCCCAGCCTCCAGAACTCTGAGAAATGAATCTCTGTTCTTTGTCAATTACTCAGTCTGTGTGATTCTGTTATAACAGCACAAAACGGACTACAGCCAGCACCCTGGTACACCGTCTGCCATCTTCATCATGTTGATAAGGCGCACCTCATGCTCACAGCAACTCCAGCCGTCACGTGGGGACCATGTCCATCTTCTTCCATGGGACTGTTTTTTAGGGGAGGAATCCCTTTTCCATGCCTGATCCCTTAGGGAGGGGACATTGGGTTTCTGGTATTCTCAGCCTTTGTAATGGGAGGCCTGTTCTGTCAGCAAGGAGAAAGGTAGGAGTCGGGGTAAGGGGAGAATGGATTGTAAGTACTTAAAGAATGGCATCCATGCCAGGTAGGTGCTTTTCTTCTTCTTCTCCATCTGGGTAAATCCAGTGGCCATTTAGCTGTGATCTTAATTAGTCCCTCAGCTGCATTCAACCTAGGGACAACTTCCTCCTCCATGAAGTGCTCTCTTCATTGTAGAGACATCAAGCCCTCCAGGTTTCCCTCCTCTCTTGCTGGCCATTCTTCATCAGTCTTCTGTTACTCCTTGCCAGCTTGACTGGCCTCTGCAGGTTGAGGTGCCCCAGGGCGCCCTGGGCATTGCTCCATTCCCCTGTGGGGAGGAGTGGAGAGAGATTTCATCCAGCTCCATGATTTTAAAGATCATCTTTATGCAGATGGTTCTCATTCATATATCTCCAGCCCTGACTTCTTCCTTGAGCTTCACAGCTGAATATCCAGCTGCTAATGTGACTCTCTATGTGGAAGCATAAACTTAAACTTAATGTGGCCAGAAAAGAACTCTTGAACCCTACCTCAGCCCACCTTATCATCATATACCCAACACTCAAAGGAGAACCTAGTGACATTAAAAAAAAAAAAAAAAAAAACACCTTTTTCTGTTCTCAGACTTAGCAGATAACTTGTTGGCTCAACCTCCAAAATGTATCTTTATTTATTTATTTTTTTTGAAATGGGTCTCACTCTGTTGCCAAGATGAAAGTTCAGTGGCATGATCATAGCACACTGCAGCCTCGAACTCCTGGGCTCAAGTGATCCTCCTGCCTCAGACTCCCAAGTAGCTGGGACTACAGGTGTACATCAGCACACTGGGCTAATTTTGAACATTTTTTGTGGAGATGGAGTCTTGGTATGTTACCCAAGCTGGTCTCAAACTCTGGGCCTCAAGCACCTCTCCCACCTTGGCCTCCTAAAATGCTGGGATTACAGGCGTGAGGTACCATGCCCAACCTAAAATTTATCTTCACTTTGTCTACTTTCTCTCTCTCTTTCCAAGCCACCATAAACTCCCACCTGAACTGTTAAATGGCCTTTGAATTGGTCCTTCCCACTTCCTCTTTTGCAATTCATTCTCTAGGTAGAAGTCCAAATGATCTCTGAAAAGTCATCCATCAAAATATTGTTTTTTTCATAAAATCATGTAAGAGTTTCCTATTGCTTAGAATAAAATCAATGCAATGCACTTTGGTTCCAAGGGCTGCTTTCATCTACCTCTGCAGCCTCATCACCTGCTACTTTCTTTCTCATTTATTTTGCTTCTGACACACCGGCCTTTCTCCGCACTTACTTCCACAGAAAGTTCTCCTTTCACCACCCTATTAAGTAACCCCCCAACACACTTCCTATCACATCGCCATATTTATTGTCATCTATTTTTTATTTGTTGATTTATAAATGATCTGTTCCCTTCCCCCTTAGCTCCAGAACAATGTCTCCCTTGCCTGTCCGGTTTATTCCTCCATTTGTAGGACCCTGAACAGAACTGGCAGTCAATAAATGTTTGTTGAATGACTATATGAGCCCCCATTTCAGAGATAAGAAAACTGAGATCTGGTCTCCTACTCTTTGTATGTGTTCTTCCTTCTATTTGAAAGCCCAGTGTCATCTCTCTGCTCTTTTTCTCCCCTACCAAACTCTCTACCACTTGTTCTTCTAGATCCGGATTTTGCAAACTACAGCCCACAGACGAAATCTAGATAGTGGCCTGTGCTTATAAATATATATATATATGAACACAGCCATAACATCTATTTATGTGTTGTCTGTACCATTTTTGTGCTACAACATCACAGTTGAGTAGCTGTGGCAGAGACGGTATAGCCCCCAAACTGAAAATATTTACTGTTTACTTTTATAGAAAGGTTTGCTGACCACTGTTCTATACACATCCTAGGTTTCTTTGATACCTTCTCTGCCCTGAAGAGATTTATGTTCCTTCTGTTGGTTCCCAAAGACCCCAGTTTTAACCCCTATCCTAGCATCTGTGTCATCCAATAATATAATTGACTAGAGGACTTTTACACCTTCTCCGCTAAGTAGGAAACACACTAAAATCCTATTACTATTTGTTGTTTGTCCCCAGTGCCTAGCAGTGCCTGGAACATAGTAGGCACGAATAAATATTTGCATAAGTGTTTGACCGTCTGAATAGATGTTTAAATGAATTAATAAGTGTTTGAATGGATTAATAAATGTTTAAATCAATGAATAAATATTTGAATTGGGAAGGGAAGGAGGAAGGATTGAGGAAGCCTTCTCCTAAAGAACCAGGGGTAGACAAGATGTATGATTTCTGCCTTCTCTCACCCTTCTCACTCTTCTCACTGCTCCGTAGACTTGGGCACCTGGAAAAATTCATTTAATTGGCTGGAAAGTTATTAACCTAAATTTGGCTGTTGCTGTTGAGGCCATGTTAACATGGAAGCTACGAGATCAGTCTTTGGGCTCAGAAATGCTTGAATCTTGTGTCTGCCATTCCTTAATCATGTGGACTTAAGTTATTATGTTATTATCTCTGCCTCAGTTTTTCATTTATAACATTGGAAGAATTATCACACCCATCTCATAGTATCACTGTGTGGAGATAACCCATGTAAAGTATTTAGCTCAATGCCTGCCACACAGCAATCAATAGGTGGTAGCTGTTATCTTAGTTCACTGAAAGAGAGGATTATGCTAATTATTTTACCAATGCTTAGGTGTGTTCATGTCTAAGAGAAGATACCATATTACATTATAAGGAGCAGCCCAGCGAAGTGATTCAGTGCATATGATCTAGAGCCAAACTCCGGCTTGTGTTAAAAATCCCAGTTCAGCCACTTACTTGTTCTTTGACCTTGTGCAAGTTTCTTCACCTCTGTCTGCCTCAGTTTCTTCATCTGTAAAATGGGTAATAATAGGGCCAGCTGTTCTGACAAGTAAGTGAAATGATACCCGTAAAGTGCTTAAAACAGTGTTTGCTCTTTATCTTATTATAAGGAAATTAAAGTTGCATGTTAGTTGAAATTTGAGGTGGAGATGAGAGAGCATCAAGCCATCGGGCATATAACCCTCAAATTCAGAGTTTAATTATGCAGTGCCTAGATTGTTGCCTTGCTACGAGTTATTGCTGATGATTCAAAAGAGAATACCCAAAGCATTAAATGTAAAAGTCCCTTGACCTTGCTATAATACACGAAAATAACAATCACTTAAAGGAAGTATATATGCAAATACTGCCCGCCTATCACGGGCAGCTCCATCGCAAATGTGGTGTTCATTAATTCTCAAAATTCTTTATAGATGCGTATAAGAATCCATAGTGACTGAATTAAATTACACTTGTTTTATAATATAGTGTTCTGATGTGTAGCAGACTATCAAAGGAATGATCTTTATGAGGAAAACTTTAGAATATTGTTAAGTTACTCACTGTGTGACCTATTTAGACTTCTCAGATTCTTCTTATGGTAGACTGCATAATTAAATTTTAAATGGAACATGATAAAGAAATTATACTGGTGATCTCCAGAGATTTTGATACCCTATTTGGCTCTTTATAAGAGGATAGCAAAGACATACTTTAAAAATTAATAAAGCCCTGCCCTAATTTTTTTCCTTTTAGATTTTCCTTATCTGCTCTGTAATTCAAAGCTATGTTGCATGATCCACAAGTGTTTCCTGAAATAAATGATCAAAATAAAAATTCTTAAAAGCACATTTATCCCAATTTGAGAATTCCATTATTTGTGCATGAGAGCTTTTGTGCAGTAGTGGAACTTCTTTAAGATAAAGCCTGCCGTTTTCTGGATTTGTCGCCATAGAGAATTGGAGATTTATTCATTCTGTTTGTGGAAGCATTCATATCTTCAGAGTTTATAGAGCAAAGGGGTAGAAAATGGTTTCCACGTAAGATACAATTTTGCAGTTAGAATTCCTCATTTGCTATGTAAAAGTTGCTCGTCCCTTGGGTGAATAATTTTTTTCCATAACCTTTTGCCATTCATTTTCTCCTGTATTTAAAGGGGCATTTCCAAGATATAATAACATTCTATATTAAATACAATATTCTCATCTTTACTTAATAACTTTTGTAGTATAAAGCACACCCATGTTAGTTAAAAAGCCTTTCTTATTCCTCTAAAGGGTTTCAGATTTTGCTGTCCAATGAGCTTTGACAAAAACAAAACAGGTTGGAGAGTTTCTGTGCCTGCCCAAGGTTGATTTGCTTTTTATACCTTCTTAAATATTGGCTTCCACTGATGTTTGGGATTGTCGAGCTACCAAGAACACATAAATTAATAAAATTTATTCCCATGTATACATAGATAGTTTTAAACCCTGTAAACCTTTCTTTTCGGATTAGGTTTTGTAAATGTTTCTATTATGTATTTTCCTTTTCCTTCTTTCTGGCGAATACGCAGTTTTCCTTTTGGACTGAAACCACTCAAGCATCCTATATTGTGTTCATTTTTCAAATAAGCAACATTAGACTCACAAAACACTATATAAAACCAAGCTGAGGCAGTGACATGAGCCAGCAGAGAAAATAAATTCCCCATTAGGCCTGACTATTCATCCTTAAACCTCTGCTTGTCATGCTGGCTGGGGGTGGGGGGTGTAACTTTAAGGAATAATGCCAAGCTCCATAAAGGATTCTAAAGAGAAACTCATACTGGAAACATGATTATCCAGTGAGTAAGTGGAAACTCTATTTACCACCACAGTTATAGCATTTGAGACCCTCCCTCACCCAGATCCCAACCTGTGGAACTCAGGCTAGCATCGACATAGTGACACCTGGTGGCCCCTAATTCATCATTGGGCACCACGGCACCCCTTCCAAAGTAAAGAAAATTTATTTCCAAATTAGGCTTTCAACGTAATAGGTTTCTGCGTATGGTTTACAAGTTTTTAAAATACATACCTAATTAATAATGGAGATGCTTATGGACACCACAATGAAACCTTAAAATGAATCTCTTGATAATAGCAATGCATTAGTCTTTTCTCACGCTGCTAATAAAGACATACCCACAACTGAGTAATTTATAAAGACATGAGGTTTAATGGACTCACAGTTCCACATGGCTAGGGAGGCCTCACAACCATGGCAGAAGGTGAATGAGGATCAAAGTCATGTCTTACATGGTGGCTGGCAAGAGAACTTGTGCAGGGGAACTGCCCTTTATAAAACCATCACATCTCATGAGTCTTATTCACTATCATGAGAACAGCATGGGAAAGACCTGCCCCCATGATTCCATTACCTCCCACCAGGCCCCTCCCACAGTGTGTGGGAATTCAAAATGAGATCTGGGTGGGGACACAGCCAGAACATATCAGGCAGTATCATTACTAATGACATCCTTGATCAAGGAAATATATGAGGTCCTATGGGGGATACAAGGTACGATGATCCCTGCCCTTAAGAACCAAAAGATTCTACTAAAAAAATCCAACTCATAGAAGCAGAGTAGCATGGGGGCTGGACAAGGTATGCGGTGGGGAGTGGGGAGATGTTGGTCAAAAGGTACAGAGATTCACTGGACAGGAGGAATAACTTTGGGAGATCTATTGTACAGCATAGTGACTATAATTAATTTATGTATACTGGAAAATTGCTAGGAAGGTAGATTTTAAATGTTCTCATCACAAAAAAAGATCAATATGTGAAGTGATAGATATTTAATTATTTGATTTAATCATTCCACAGTCTATGTATATGTACATCAAGACATCACAATGTACCCTATAAATATGGGAAAGTTTTACCTTGTCAATTAAAAATTAAACTAATAAATTAGTTAATTAAATAAAAGAACCAAATGGTTCAAAAGTAGGAATCAATTTTAGTAGAAGAAAGCATGTTCTTTCTTAGCAAAATGTCTCTTACATGATAAAGTAAATATGTATGTGTATGTGTGTGTGTGTGTGTGTATATATATATGTATGTATAATACATTAAGTAACATATACCTGGACCAAAGAATTAAGTGCAGAGAAGAGAGAACATTTTTCATATGGCAATTGAAAGAATATCATTGGAGGGAATATCCCTTCTGCAACCAGAAAGGGCAAAAATAAAGCAAAGTGCAAGGAATGTAGAGTGTCTGGAGATGGAGACCCAGCCAACTGGTTTCACCCAGATGGTTTGTTAAGAGAATAATGAAATATGAATTAGAAAAGTAGATAGAAGCCAGATTGCAAAGCTTTAGAATGATAGAAGTGGTTTACTTTTTAAAAAATTGACACAAGGCCGGGCACAGTGGCTCATGCCTGTAATCCCAGCACTTTGGGAGGCTGAGGCAGGAGGAATGCTTGAGCCCAGGAGTTCAAGACCAGCTTGGGCAACATGGCAAAACCAAGTCTCTTAAAAAAAAAAAAAGGTACAAAAGTTAGCCAGGCATGGTGGCACACGGCTGTAGTCCCAGTGACTCAGGAGGCTGAGGTGGGAGGATCTCTTAAGCCCAGGAGGTTGAAGCTGCAGTGAGCCATGATGGCACCACTGCACTCCAGCCTAGGTGACAGACTGAGACCATATATAAAAAATATTTTGACACATAATAGTTATACATATTTATGTGGTACAGTATGATATTTCTATACCTGAATACATTGTGCAAAAATCAAATCAGGGTATTTAGCATATCTGTCATCTCATACAATTATCATTTCTTTGTTGTGAGAGCATTTAAAATTACCTGTTTTGAAATATATAACATTTTATAATTTTATATTATTATAACCACAGTCACCCTATTATGCAATAGAGCAACAAGAGCTTAGTATCCAACGGTAACTTTATACCCATTGACCTTCTTTCCCAGTGCCCTCCTCTCATCCCCACCCCACCCCATCCCCTGGTAACCACTATTCTACTCTCTACTTCTATCATATCAACTTCTTTAGATTCCACATATGAGTAAGGTGATATGGTATCTGTCTTTCTGTGCCTGGCTTATTTCACTTAACATAATGCTCTCCAAGTTCATCCATATTGTTGAAAATGACAGATTTTGATTTTCTTATGGCCAAAGAATATTCTATTGTGTATATATACCACATTTTCTTTATCTGTTCATCTGTGGATGGGTGCTTAGGTTGATTCCATATCTTGGCTATTGTGGATAATGGTGCCATGAACACGGGAGTGCAGATATGTCCTGACGTATTGATTTCAATTCCTTTGCATATTTACCCAATAGTGGGATGGCTACATCATATGGCAGTTCTATTTTTAGATTTTTAAGAAACCTCCATACTGATTTCCGTAATGGCTATGCTAATGTACATTCCCACAAACAGTATACAAGGGTTCCCTTTCTCCAATCAGTGCCAGCGTTTCTTATTTTGCGTCTTTTTTGTAATAGCCATTTTAATTGGGGTGAGGTGATACCTTATTGTGATTTGCTTTGTTTTGTTTTCAATACCAGTAGGGGCATTGGAACAGGGTTAAAAATAGAATTCAAAGAGCACGTTAGCAAGGTTAATCTGATGGTAATCTGTAACATCTATCATGGTGGGAAGAGCCAGCAGCTTGTAAACTCCTCGAGGAGTGGCCCCAAGTCTACCGTGCTCACCTTTCTATCCTCAACACCTAGCATAGTGCCTCCAGCACACAACAGATGCTCAAATATGCATCAAATGAACTCATGAGTAAATGGGAGCTAAGAATCTTTCTGAATGGTTGAAGTGAGAGTAACAGGTGCATGAACAAGACTGCTCATTGTAGAAACAAAAACGAAATAGTTGATTACAGAAAATATTGGGGAAAACTAATCAATATTATTTGCTTAAACTCAGGCAATGAAGGAGGGAGCGAGCAGTCCACATGATTCTCACATTTCCAGTTTAGGAATGTCCTAGTATCATGAACAAAAACTAGGGATGTCTGGAGGAAGAGGCATTCATTGGAAATGCAGAGCTAGAAAGAGGGTTGTTTTTTACTGAGTTCGAGAGGGTGAGGGTTGAGGGGCAGTTCTGGATGTAGAACTTGATGTTTGAGCATTTAGTAAGAAAGCATCTTGTATGTTGTTTGCATGGAGGTTCGGTTGAAGTCATTTGGCACACCCAAATGGGTTTTGCAGTTGTCTTATCCTGGTGACATTCCCTGCTAAATTAGACAAGATGCAAATTTGATAGAGATTCCTTAAGAAAAAATAATGTTACTGCAGAGATAAATGCAATACTCAAAAGGATTTTAATTTCTTCTGGTAATTTCTCAGGAGAAAACGGAAAAAGGACTTCTCTGGGGTGACTTCATCATAGACTGTGCTTCTCTTTTGACCACCCACCTCAATTGCCATTTTTTCCTGACATTCACTGTGGAAATTTGGTGCACGACACTGTTAGGGGAGATCTGTTGGCAACAGAATCGTGTACGCTGCTTGTTCTCATCTGGCCTTTCACACCTTGGCCTGGTATTCTTTGGCTTATTTTGTCATGTCTGGGGTTTCATCTGTTCTGGGTTCTTGCCTGAAGCTCTGGCAGATGACAGTGTTCAGCTGAGAAAGTCCTATCCAACTGCAACTTCCATGATGCAAGAATTTCTCTTGAATACCAGGGTGAATGGAAACCCAAGATTCACGAGACATTGTAGCTATTCATTTTGTCACCTTGCTTCAGTATGGCCTAAGTGTCCTAAATTAAAAATTCCTATAAAAGAGCAGAGATGAGTTTGAGACAGTGCTTTGAGAGAAACTTAGGCATAACAGGTAAGGGAAAATAGGTCATACAGTGGCTGGTAACTAATATGGCATATCATCCCAAGGGTTGTTGAGCCACGAGGACTTCACATTTTGTTTGTTAATGTGTGTGGCCACTCATACATCATACAGGGATGCCTGGGAAGTTAACAAAGATATGTTCCCATTTCTAGCAATAATAAAGAACAATCCTACTTTATAATTGGGAAATGAAATGCTACAAAAGGAATTAATCCCTGAAAAGCAAGATGGTATCACATTGATTTTTAGGAATTCTCATAATCCAGTGGTTCTGCAAATATTTCTTATAATTCTTCATCCTTTCTCTCTTCCACTCTCTCATAGATTTTTCTCCCTTCTCTGATATGCATGTGCCTTCTAGTTGACTTTTGTAAAGTAGAAAGAAATAATAAATTCTTGGATCACGCCTGAAATCCCAACACTTTGGGAGGCCAAGGCAGGTGGATCACCTGAGGTCAGGAGGTCAAGATCAGCCTGGCCAACGTGGTGAAACCGCATCTCTACTAAAAATACAAAAAAAAAAAAAAATTAGCCAGGCGTGGTGGCACACACCTGTAGTCCCAGCTACTCATGAGGCTGAAGCAAGAGAATCGCTTAAACCCTGGAGGCAGAGGTTGCAGTAAGCCAAGATTGCACCACTGCACTCCAGCCTAGGTGACAGAGTGAGACTCCATCTCACAAAAAAAATAAATAAAATAATAAAGAGAGAGAAAAGAAAGAAACAATAAGTCTTGCAGAGGTTAGAAAGAAGGTAAAGAAATGGTTACTTTGAATGGAGCAATAATCACATTTTAACATAAAGATTGTCCAAGATCACAGAGTAATCTGCATAATTGTGCAAAAATTCTCATGTTACATGACTGTTCTCCCTGCAGTATACACTCAGCCTGTTAGTTTTTGTATCTAGAATCCTAGAACCTTAGAGCTCCATGGAACCTGTTTTGCATCGTCTCCTTGTTTCACAGATGAATAGGCTGAAGATCAGACAGTGGAAACTAAGTCCTCATGACCACACTGTGTGGGATCACTGGACAAGCTAACATTTTCTTGGGGTGGATGGAGTCCAGTTATCATTGCAGGGCCTGTTCTTGGGGCAGAAGAGTCAGGAACCCTTTTAACTGCTTTCTGGTTGTCTGTACCTTTTCTCGCCACTACTTTGGTAACTTGTATCCCCCATCCCTGGGGACAAAATCTTCATTTCTAGCGTTTTCCACCATAACCTTGTTCTGGTGCTGAAACAAGCAAAAGCAAAGTGCTGAAACAAGTGTCGATGCTGGCATATCACAGTGTAGAATGGTGCTCCTCAAATTTAGGTGGCTATGGAAGTGACCGGAGGATTGTGTTTAAATGCATGTTCTGATTCAGCTGGTCTGGGGCAAAACCTGAAATTCTGTATTTCTGACAAGCTCCCACGGGGTTTCTGATGATTCTGGTCCTCAGACCATCCTTTGAGGAGCAAACGACTACAGAGCCACCAGTCCCATCTTTGAAAGAAGTAACCGACACTTGCCAAGTCTCTCATCCGGAGCTTTAAGAATTTGATGCTTAGGCTTCAATTACATCTCAATAAAAATGAATGAATGAATGTAATGCTTTTATTTATTCTACCTTCTTTCTTCTTTTTTGTTTTTCTTTTCTTTTTTTTTTTTTTTTTTTTTTCGTGACAGAGCCTCGGTCTGTTGCCCAGGCTGGAGCGCAGTGGTGCAATCTTGTCTCACCGGGAGGCAACCTCCGCCTCCCAGGTTCAAGCGATTCTTCTGCCGCAGCCTCCCAAGTAGCTGAGATTATAGGCAAGTGCCACCATGCCCAGCTGATTTTTGTATTTTTAGTAGAGACAGGGTTTCCCATGTTGGCCAGGCTGGTCTCAAACTCCTGACCTCAGGTGATCCGTCCACCTTGGCCTCCCAAAGTGCTGGATTACAGGCATGAGCCACCGTGCCTGGCCAATTCTACCTTATTTCTGATTGGCTTCTTCCCATTTGTTTTTTGAGAAGATGCTACAAAGCATTTTGGAAACTGGTACTGCAGGAGTAATTTCTCTTCAAACTCTGAGTTACTATAAAACAGCTGTGGAATCCTGTGGATTGAAAAGAACTTGAGAAAGGCAATATTCTGTTACTGAGCTTAGGATACAGTATCATATTAGGATACAGTATCAATCAAGATTTGACTTTCAATTCTGAGTTTGTGATGAGTAGCTATAATTGACAGAGTGACAGAAGTTTTTATATTAGTGTTTATTTTACCAATGTGAAGTGTTATTTGTGTGAAGTAATTGAGTTCCTAGATGTTCTCATTCTGTATCAGTGGCTGTAGACAGTGTAAGTCTAGATAGCATGATAGTGTATGAATGTATATATATATATGGAGGGAGGGAAAGAGGGACTATGAATTAACCATAGTTTTGAAATTGATTCCTGGAAACTGACATTTATTGACTGCACAGGTGTTAAAATTGTCTTTGTTTTATTTACTCCATATGAACTGAAAAGTATTAGAGAAGCAAAATTCTTCTCTACTTTCGACTCTATTCCCATTCAGTCTATCCCCTCAACTAAAGTAAACTGAGGTATCTTAGATATAGAAATCTAATTTGGAATAACTCAAGAGAGATAGAGGGGAGATGGGTAATACTGAATATGCAGAATTCAATCATAGAAAACTAATCACTTTAGTGAAAAGCCAGCTGTTCTTTGTTTTCTAATGGGCATGTGATGTTGATGAAAAATAGCATTCAAGTAAAGTTTACCAAGAACAACTGGTTTGATTCAAGGTATTATATTATTTTGCAGTATAGGAAATGTTATTTAGATTTAACAAAGGGCTGAACAGAGCAGCCAGTCCAAAGACCCAAATACCAAAGGATTATCTTTAAATTTAGAGAATGAAAAATGCAAGAGCATTGTATTTTGGGCATCAGATGATAATTCTTTCAGAGAATATGCCTGGGTTTTTGTGTCCTTCAAATTTCGTTTGAATGAACATTTTATGGATTTTTGTGACACTGAGGGATATGTTAAAATACCATTGCAAACATGTCAGGCAACTCAAGTTTAGAAGATTCTCAACTTGAATTATTTTAGCATTCTGCTATTTGAATTACTTGGGGGAAAACAGGAGTTGTATGACAATTTGGAGGTCCTTTTCTTTGTCTCCCAAGTGAGTTTGTAGGTTCACTGAATTTCCCCAAAGAAGATCCTGAGACAAGAATTTGAGTCTAAGGACATGAGGGAGGGGGATGTGAGACAGGAATGGGGGAGGTCAGCAAAGCCTGAGTGTAGGTGGGTTAGTGCCTGGACAACTCAGGCTCGAGCCCGCTGGGGACCCCGTGAAGCACTGCCCCACCGAGGGACGCAGAAGCAGCTGTCTTTTTCCATCTGCCCTGCCTCTTGCTAGTTGAAGTCACCCCAGGGGTGTTTGCTCTTGTGTGCATCTGTCTTTCTCCATGCCTAGGCCAAGCGCTCCTGCAGCAGCAAAATCCCTCTCTGAAAGTCAGAAAGCCTGAGATCCACAAGCTTCTTGGGGAGGGATCTGCAGACGACCTTCAGGGCAGGCTGAGGTCATATAGGCAGGGCCCTGACAGTCTCCACCTTATCAGTGTGGCCGCTATTGTAACCCCATCACCTAGGCTGTAGTGCTTGATAATTAGCAAGTTATCAGTGTGGCCGCTATTGTAACCCCATCACCTAGGCTGTAGTGCTTGATAATTAGCAAGTTATCAGTGTGGCCGCTATTGTAACCCCATCACCTAGGCTGTAGTGCTTGATAATTAGCAAGTTCTTTTGTTTTGTGGTGTTGTTGTTGTTGTTGTTGTTGTTGTTGAGACGGAGTCTCGCCTGTCACCCAGGCTGGAATGCAGTGGTGTGATCTGGCTCACTGCCACCTCTGCCTCCTGGGTTCGAGCGATTCTCTTGCCTCAGCCTCCCAAGTAGCTGGGATTATAGGCATAAGCCACCACGCCATGATAATTTTTGTATTTTTAGTAGAGACAGGGTTTCACCATGTTGGCCAGGCTGATCTCAAACTCCTGACCTCAGGTGATCCACTCACCTTGGCCTCCCAAAGTGCTGGGATTACAGGTGTGAGCCACCCTACTCAGCTGATAATTAGCAAATTCTTAATAAGTGTTTATTCAATGAAGGGAGGGAAGGAGAAAAATGAATGATTCAAACAGAATCGGAAAAGCCAGGCCGGGCGCGGTGGCTCATGCCTGTAATCCCAGCACTTTGGGAGGCCGAGGCGGACGGATCACGAGGTCAGGAGATCGAGACCATCCTGGCTAACACGGTGAAACCCCATCTCTACTAAAAATACAAAAAATTAGCCGGGCTTGGTGGCGGATGCCTGTAGTTCCAGCTACTAGGGAGGCTGAGGCAGGAGAATGGTGTGATACTAGGAGGCAGAGCTTGCAGTGAGCCGAGACCGCACCACTGCACTCTAGCCTGGGTGACAGAGCGAGGCTCCATCTCAAAAAATAAAGAAAAAGAAAAGCCAGTATTGGCAACATGTCAGGCAGCGTCCATAGACAGATCAATGATTAGAGATAGTTTTTGAAAATAGCATTTTACTTCTGATTAGGGTCCCCAACCTAATATCTAAATTTTATGCTTGCCAGGTTTATTATGTGTGTGGAGGTGGGAAAAGAAAGAAAAAGGGTTGGCACGAGAGAGCACATAGCTCTATATGTCAGCTACCTTAACTCTAAAGGGTGGCACTTGGGGGAATTATACTTTTCACATCAATAGTTATACCCGGGTTTTTTTGTTTTGTTTGTTTTTTTACAAGATTAGCATATGTTTATGTTTGATTATTCAAGATAAATCAGTTCCCAGTGTTCTGGGCAGTTCATAGGTCTCAATGAATCATTGAAGAACTGTAGATAATCCCTGCTAAGTCCCACAAAAGCAGCTAACTTGCTCCTTTGTCATGCAGGGAAAGGAGTAGTGTGGACTGAGGAGTGCATTTTTGAGGTAAGGATGATGTCCAGCATCCAGACAAAAATGAAAAAATTGTCACTTGGACATTTACAAGTGTCAAGAGGTTCTGTGTCACACAAATGGCTTTGTTTATGTTCTACTAACATATTTGAATGAAGTATACAAAATTCAGTAACTCATATGGCTATCTTAAATGCATGGCACTAAACATAGAAACATCTAGGAATAGCATGGGATTGCTTTCCTTTATTATTCTGGTAGCTCTCATTATGTACATAGTAGTTGTAACCTGAGAGTGTGTCTGTCTGGCCAAGCATAAATCTCAATGTGTTCATATGTGTAGTGTATGTATGTGTGGCATGAAGGGTAGGGAGAAGAAGGGTTGCAGAGAGCTTTTCCTTCCAAAAATATATATGTTTTTGGCTTATTTGATGGTTTTGATCATCTGTAACTTTTGTAGCAATCATGATTTCTACATGATTCAGTGAATTACCCTGTAGTACTAATGTAAAACCTCAAAAGGCCATTTCTCTACCAAACATCTAAGTATGCCAACTGTGTTAACTTCATAACTTATAGTCAGGGTGATCTTTTATCTTCTTCACGGGGTCCTGAGTGATGTTGTTCTAGCGAAACAACACCAGAGGAAAAGGGGGCTCACAGAAAAGCAGCATTGAGCATGCAGAAATGTAAAGTATCTGCAAAGGGTTAATAAGTTAGAAATACATATTCCCTGCAAGAAACAAGAGCAGAAGGAGCTTGGCAATGATTACTTTCTCTTTTTTTCTGGAGGAGTGAAGAAATGTGCTACGGAGACACCATAGCCAACTTGGACTGAGAGTGCTGGAGTGTTTTCCTGCCCCCAGGGTCCTGATGCCATCCCCCTCTCTAGGCCTCCCTTGACCCTGGAACTGGGTGGCAGGCCAGCTACAGAGGAGTGTGGGAATTCAGTCCATAAACCCTTGGTTTCTTCTCGCAGGACTCCCAGCTCCTCTTGACAATTTCCTCATACTGATTTATTGATTTAATTTCTGGTTGGCAGTGGTAGTAGTTATAAAGTAAATTTACCCCAGGAAAACAAGATATTTTGGGAGTTCACTAATGCTAACGCTGCACTTGGATCCTAGAGCCACTTTGCATCTGCCCAAATCAGCTAGAGAAAACAACAGCCAAGTGACACCCAGCAAGCAGCAACAACTCGTCTCTTCCATTTACTCAGTTGGGATAGTAGGAATAGAAGGATATGCGTGTTACTTTCCTATTAATAGTTAACCTTAGAAATCAAAAGTTGACCAGGCGCAGTGGCTCATGCCTATAATCCCAGCACATTGGGAGACTGAGGTGGTTGGATCATTTGAGGTCAGGAGTTTGAGACCAGCCTGGCCAACATAGTGAAATTCCTTTTCTATTAAAAATACAAAAATTAGCCAGGTGTGGTGGCAGGTGCCTGTAATCCCAGCCACTGGGGAGGCTGGGGCAGAAGAATTGATTGAACCTAGGAAGTAGAGGTTGCAGTGAGCCGAGATCACAGCACTTCACTCCAGCCTGGGTGACAGTGAGACTCTGTCTCAAAAAAAAAAAAAAAAAAAATCAAAAGTTAATAATCTTCATAACATCATGTTTGTTATCATGTATCATGCTTGAATTTTGACAACATAGTTTTCTGTCTTCATTTTGATTTGGGCCTCAGGAAAAAAAAAATTGTCTTGGATGTGATTCTTTTCTACTCTTGGATCATGCAAAAGGGTTAGCTTAGATGCAATATTGGTTATCTGTTTATGTATAAAAATGATTCCAAAAGTTAGCTGCTTAAAACAACAAACATTTGTTATCTCAGTTTCTTGGGGTCAGGAAATTGGGCACAGCTTTGGTGGGCACTCATGCCTCACCATCTCTCACAAAGCTGCAGTCAAGGGGGCTGTGATCTGCTATGAAAACTTGACTGTGGATGGATCTGCTTGCAAGCTCATTTGTGTAGTTGTTGGAAGGATTCCGTTTCTTATGGTCTATTGGAATGAGGGCCTTAGTCCCTGCCTTTCTGTTGCCTGGGACCACCCTCACTTCCTTGCCATGTGGGCCTTTCCATAGGGAAGCTGGCTTCCATTGTAAGAAACAAGAGAGAGAATAAGATCTGGCCACAAGATGGAAGTCATAGTCATTTTGTAACTTAATCTAATGACATGCCATCCCTGTTACTGCACTCTCTTCATTATAAATGAGTCATGAGGTTCAGCCCATATTCAAAGGAGGGATTATACAAAGACATGAATACCAAGAGGTAGGGATCACTGGGGGCCATTTTAGATGCTTTATACGCAGACTTGATTCTAAAATTGCTATATGATGGAGAGTTATTTTTGATGCAATAAATGCTAAGTTTTAGGACAAATTCTTAATTATTTGTGGTGATGTGGATTAATACCTTGAGAATGAAGACTAAATCATAGGGTCAAGAAAATATGATGATCAGATTAACTATTTCTTGGATAATTGGCAACAGTCCCATTGTGGCCAAAAAGGAACCAGAGTTTAAGCCAAGGGGAAGCTCAGGGCAGGACCCACAAGTATTGAACTATTTTCCAACAAGCCGGGATGCCCATGGAATTGAAGCTTCAGAAACTTATATTTGTACAATGAAATGCACCTGCTGCCTGTTAACCAACTCCTCTTCCTTGCCCCTCCTGTTGTCCTTCCTGTCTATATAAATCATTAACTTTATTGTTGGGGAGGGGACAGATTTGGGGTTTATCTCCCATCTCTCCAACTGATGTCATCTGAATAAGGTCTTCTTCCTGGCAATACTTGTCTCAGTGATTGGCTTTCTGTGCAGCCAGCAATGAAACCTAGACTGAACCTCTAGCGTTTGGTAAGAGTATCGCTATCAAGTTGCTACCTGTGAGGGGCAGAACTCCCACATGGGGCCAAAGGAAGAGTATTAGTTGACCTCTGGAAGGAAAAAGCCATGTGGACCCAAGAGCTACAGACAATGGGAGGAGCAGAAACTCATGTGCATATTTCTTACAAGGATGGGCAGATTAGGATAGGGAATCAAAGTCTTATGATCTAGGCATGTGCTAGGAAAGATTGAGATGCTCTAGAAGGACTCTGGAGCCTGAGGCAAAACACTGTTCTTGAAGAACTAGCTATATCAGCTACCAAACATTGCTCTTTTCTGTTTTTTGTTTGTTTGTTTGTTTGACAGAGTCTCGCTCTGTCACCCAGGCTGGAGTGCAGTGGCACAATCTTGGTTCACTGCAACCTCTGCTTCTCGGGTTCCAGCAATTCTCCCACCTCAGCCTCCTGAGTGGCTGGGATTATAGGCACACACCACTACTCCCAGCTTTTTTTTTGTTTTGTTTTTGGAGAGATGGCGTTTTGCCATGTTGGCCAGGCTGGTCTCAAACTCCTGACCTCAGGTGATCTGCTTGCCTCAGCCTCCCTAAGTGCTGAGATTACAGGCATGAGCCACCACACTCAGCCCCAAGATTGCTCTTTAATATGACTCTGAAACTTGACCATGTGAGGGTGGACCAGCCATGCCTTAAAAAGTAGTTCTCTACCCTCACAAGGGAAGGCAAGCTGAGTCCATACTTAACTATGAAATAACATAGTAGAAGTGAAGAGTCTCTTTTCTAGTATTGGGTCTATCTAGGTGTGTGACTTTGAGCCTTGTAAGTCACTTTAACTCACTAGTTTAGGTAACTGATCTGCAGTGTCCCTACCCCACCACAAAAACTTTACAGAAGTTGTCAGTGACTTACATATAGCTAGATCCAGTAGACACTTCAATGCATGTATTACTTGGTCTGTTGGCAGTATTTGATACCATTGAGCACCTCTGTCTTGAAACACTTTTCTCCTTGGCTGTAGATGATTTGGGAGTTACTGGCAAAACATTTTGACCTGCAGAAAATATTTTGCATGAGAAGAGCAGAGGATCTGAACTAGTCCACAGTCATCACAGGCACTAAGGATCAGGTGAAAGCGGTGCACACAGAAGCAGCCTTGGCCTCTGAGTTAAGAAGGAAGCCAGGGTGGAGTGGATTTGAAATGAGCTGGAACTGAGCAAATATAGGAACTTCATTTCATTTAAGAAGCTCAACTTTAGAGGGGGCAAGAGAGGTCCCCTCACAAGAATGGTAGTGAGCGGCACAGAATAAACTTGGAGGGAGGATTTTTTTTTCTTTTGTTTTTTTTTGTGACAGAGTCTCACTCTGTCACCCAGACTGGAGTGCAGTGGCGTGATCTCAGCTCACTGCAACCTCCACCTCCCAGGTTCAAGCGATTCTCATGCCTCAGCCTCCCGAGTAGCTGGGATTACAGGTGTGCACCACCACACCCAGCTATTTTTTTGTATTTTTATTAGAAATGGGGTTTCGCCACATTGGCCAGGCTGGTCCCGAACAACTGAACTCAGGTGAGCTGCCTGCCTCAGCCTCCCAAAGTGCTGGAATTATAGGCATGAGTCCCTGCATCCAGCCAGATGTTTCTTAAAGAGAGGAGAAACTTACTCATCTAAATGCATAGAAGGCATCAGGAGAGGGGAGAAGGGGGCAGAGTCCCTGAGAAGGCAAGAGGGCATGGGATCCAGGGCACAGACAGGATCAGCCTGAGAGGAGAGCCCAGGCTTCCATCTGAACAAGGATGGAAGCAGGAAAGCAGTGTGTGGATTCAGAGTAATGTGTGGGACTGGAACATCAGAGAGTCTTAGACATTCAGCCTAAGAACGGATGGGAGCCGTAGGTGCTAACCCAGGAGTGGGGATGCTGCCAGGGGACCCAGCATAGAAGCAGGGGGACAAGGTTGTTTGGTGGAGGGGGCAGCTGACAGCATTTCCCTCCTTCGGCTTCATGCAGTAGCCTTGGGCCTTGGCTGATGAGCAGGTCTTAGGTATCATGGGAGGGAGGAAAGCAGGTAACTTGCCCTGAGTACCTGCTCTCGGCCAGACCCCAGCATATGCCACCTATAGGCACCATAGCATTTTGTTAGGGAAGTGACAAGCCCCACCTGCGGCCTTCCACCCTGTAAGAGGAAGAGCCAGCTCTGCACCGAGGCCTGTTTGATTTCCAGTTTACACCACACTGTGTGTCCAGGACCAGAGACAAGCCGAGAACTACCTGGGCCTGACTTAGGTGGGCTTGCCAGCACAGCTTTGAAGGTGAAATCCATGTTTAGCCATCTAGGCAGTACAGGGAGCCTGTGAATGTCACTGTGGCTCAGTGGAGGCGGCCAGAGCTCCGGGAGCCCCTCTCTGGGTGTATCTGAGTAGTAAATGGTGTCGCTGACAGTCACTGGCATGAGCCCTGTGGTACCATTGATCCCACACACCTAATGTCCTGGGGGAGTCAACAGCGAGGGCCCCTCAGCAGCCACTCCAGGATAGAAGCCCCAGGAAAGGGGCTGTTAATGATGTTGACAAATTTCTGGCTGGGTTATTATGGGATGTTAATGCCTACCCTCAAACAATATGTTTCCACCTCCCACGTTTTCCCCCTGCTGGTTTGATTGAGAAAACCATAGCGACCAAAAGAGCAAGATTTATACAAATTGTGTAGCAGGGGATTGGGCTGTAGGCAGGGGAGCCCCCTTGGGGAGGAATTCACCTTTTCAAAGTAGAGGGGAACAGGTGCTCTGGAACTGGCACGTAGCTGCGAGAGGGTGGGGATGGCATTCCTGAAGGGAAAGGTTACCCAGATTAACAACACTCTGCTGAAAATGATGCCATCCTGGCTCTGTCATTAAAACAGGTGGCTGTCATTATGGCCTCTGGCTCATAATGGGAAGATAATATAGGCTGGGAGAGATTTATATGAGCTCCAGAAAGATGAAATTGCACATCAAGAAGGAAACAAGGCATAAAGAGGACCAATTTGGGGAATTTCTCTCCCCACTGGAATGCACGTGATACTCATTAAGGGTGTAGAAATTGTGTCATTCCATCCAGAGGGTTAAATTACCTACAGAGCTTTCATTTATTCAGGTTTTATTTAAGTAGCCTTTGGGGAAGACTCCTTTTTCCCTCTTTGGATGTTTTCCTTCAGTTTAAGAGAGTAGTAAGCATAAAAATGTACTGTATATGATAAAACTTACCCCTTTTCTTTCCCTGCAAATAATCTTGGCCTCTCAGTAGACTGTTGGAAATCAAAAGGTAGGGGGATATATGTTCTCTTTTTCTTTTCCTAAAGAGATAAAGTTTTAGTGTTTTTTTTTTATTTAATAAAGACTCACATGGTGACTCCCAGGCACTATTCTAAGCCCCTCACAAATGTTAATTCATTTAATACAATAATACTTCTAAGGTAAGTTCTTTTATTGACTCCATTTAGAGATGAGGTATAGAGAAGTATGAACCCTCTGTACTTACCTAAGTTCATACAACTAGGACCTCATGTGCTTGGCATTGCCACCCATGCAGATTTGCTCCAGAGACTATGTTCTTAGCTGCCACAATCCTCTGACTATACTATGTCTGTTTCCATTTTAACAGGCATTTAAATGACACATTTGTCCCATCTTTGAGTCTCTCTTCTGCCAAGAACACATTTTAAAATCTCTGCCTGTGAGGAGTTGTTGCATTAAGGTCGATAAGATGGAAGAATGGCAGCTGTGCTGGAGCAGACAGTGGTGTTTTCCATTGCATAGGCATCTTTAGAATGTGCAGTGCATGTCACAGGCAGGTCTGGAAGGCTTTGCTGTCCTTGCTGTGTGTAAGATCGGAGAAGGCAAGGAAACCTTCCAATCGTTAGAAGTGCACAGGCTCGCTTTCAAACACAAAAGCTCAGCACACACTTACTCTAACCAGTCCTTCACCTGCTGCACAAAATCATACCTTTCCATGCACAGTTGGAAGGACATTTCTCTGGCCATCCTGAGCACATTTTTTCCTGGAGATTTAGAGCTGATTGGGCACAGATGGGAGGCAGGGTTATTTACCATTTTACTCTCCCTCCCTGTTCACCATTTGACACAAGAAATGAACAGCTCTTTTGCCTTACAAGGCATAGCCAGATTGCCAAGTAATTACCTTGATTTATGAAGGCAGGAATAGAAGGTAGCATGAAACATCATTTGTAACTGGTGATGGTCAGATTAACATTCCCCGAATTTGTTGATTATTTCGTGTTGTGTTGAATTCCTAACAAGCATATGAAAGAGGAAATCAGTGTCCTATTGCCTCGGTGTCCTCAGTGCCTAGAACAATGCCTGGCTTTCAAGTTTACAGAATAAAGAAATGTATGAGGGGATGAGTGCCTACTGTGTAATCCCCGCTAGACACCTGAATACCTTCAACTTTCTGCTTTCAAGGTCATGAGTAGCGTAAGAAGACACATACACACATCTTCACCACAGAAGAAAAATATGGCATTTGAGGAGAGAGAAAATGCTTCTAGTATGGGGCCATAGGAAAGTCTTCATGAAGAGTGTATTGGAGCAAGCCAGCAGAGGAGAGGTGGGATCCCATAGGAGCTTGAGGCAAGAACGTCCAAGCATGGTAGAAAAATCACAAAGAATTGCCCTTGGGGTGTTAGATATGTACAGATCATGCAAGGGAATGAGAAAGCTGGATGTAGGTTTGGACACACTGTGTGGGTGCCCACTTTTCTTAATTCAGAAATTTAAACATTCCAGAGGGGCTGGGCCTCTGTATTTTGCCAGAAACCTGGGCTCATCAGATCATACAGCTGGAAAGTGGGCAAGTTCACATGGATGGAGAGAGGGATGGAAACCACTTCCATAATACAGCCTGGTCTGCACCTTCTTCACCCATAGTCCTCCAGTTCTGTATTCTTGGTCCTGTATTCAGTATCTCAACACAGACCTTGCTTCCCACCTGAGCTCATGCTGCATCTTCTCTAGCCCAGGAGGTGCCCTCTGGGAGTTTACATCCAGCCCTTACATGTCTCTCTTAGCCAGAGTAGTAGCAGAAAAATAGCTAGCCTCAGGAGCATGTCCTCTGAGCTAGGCCCAGAGCGCCCTGCTCTGGAGGGAAAGGTTTGGATGGTTTCTAAATTTGGGGGCTGCTGTCAAAGCCACACCCTCTCTTGTGATGACGTACCTTCTGTGTTGGGCCTAAGACTTGATGTTCTGCTATTTGATCAAGCTTTATATAAATTTGTGGGCTTCAATTTAACCTTTGGCTAAATTGGTTGTTTTCTGAACATTTCAGGAGGCTTCAAGAATGTTCAGGAAGCCAAGGCTACATGAAGCCCCCCTAGGCTGGGAGGGCTGCCTCTTTGCATGAAGCTCCATGGTTTCCTTTCTGCACAATAGTCGGAACCTCTGAGCCCTTCCTCTTCATTCTCTACCTATCCATATCCCTAAGACAGGCAGACCCTCTTGCACGGTGGCTATCATGTTTTTACGTTCTAAATCTTGGGGTCTTTCAAACTCTCCATGGTCCTTCTTATCGTGATCAAAACCCTGTCTGAATTCCTCTGCTGCTGGCATTGGCTGGCTCTGGCTTCCTGCAAAAACGCTTACCTGTCTCTGTACCCATCTAAAAGGTAAGTTTCCTGCTCCTGAGTGTGGAGAAGGAGGAGCAACTCCTTCACATGTTCCAGACACTGCCTGGACCTAGGTTCCCCCAAATGAACACGCACACACAAACAGCAGGTGACAGCAGTATTTACCCAGAGAGAATTGGAGGAGGTGAGGGGACCATCTCTGAGAGAGAGAAGGGAAATTCAGGGTGAAGATATTTGCATGTGAAGTCTGACTTCCTGGAGTTTGAGGGGGTCCTCTATACATGTGTTCCCTCCGTCTCCAAGGCCACCTCCTCTCAGCTTTCTCCATTGCATCCCCTTCCCATATTCTCTCTCCTTTCATCCCTGTGCCACTCCCAAAGCCCCTGCACTTTCCGGAGCAACGTATCAGTCCCCAAACCCCACTCATGTCATGTGGATGGCACAGCTTCCAGTGGGGCTGTGCCTCTAGTGATCTCCCCAGACCTGGCGTCACCACTGTGGATAAGAGAGATGGGACACCCAGTGCCATGGTGGAGGCCATCATGCCGCAGAGGAGGGTGGCAGAAGCTTCTCAAGCAGGAATGCATTAAGTTTTGTTTTGTCTTTTAAAAACCTCACCCAGAGGCCAGGCATGGTGGCTCATGCCTGTAATCTCAGCACTTTGGGAGGCCGAGGCAGATGGATCACTTGAGGCCAGGAGTTCAAGACCAGCCTGGCCAATACAACAAAACCCCATCTCTACTAAAAATACCAAAAAAAAAAAAATTAGCCAGGCTTGGTGGCAGGCACCTGCAGTCCCAGCTACTAGGGAAGCTGAGGCATGAGAACCACCTGAAGCTGGGAGGTGGAGGTTGCACTGAGCCAAGATCACACCACTGCACTGCAACCTGGTTAACAGAGTGAGACTGTGTCGCAAAACAAAACGAAACACACACACACCAAAAAAAAAAAAAAAAAAAAAACTCACCTACAAATTCAAACTCACTTTACATGACTTGGATCAGTTTTGGCTGAAAACCCTTATTTTGTCTACCTGAGACACTCACATTCTTTTCAGGTCGATGGAACTTTGCCTTTTTCAATGCTAAAAGGGCACAGCATTCCCTTTCTAACCTTTGGTTGCTTGACAGTCTTCTCTGATTACCTTGGCAATGCCTGGGACCATGTATCATCACACCTCTCTCCCCTGATTCCTGAGTTTATCCCCTGGCTGCAAGAGGCGAGTTGAGGGTTTGCAGCTTCCCTGGGTTTCCCTACCTTGACCTTGTCTTCTTGAAGACAGGCAGGAAGTTTGCACTGGGAAAGGGCCAGGGCCTGAACCGTGGTTTCTGAATCTTGGAGTTGCTAGAACCCCAGAGGTCATTACTAAGAAGAACCCAGTGCAGTGTGTGTGTCTGAGGACGGGAGGTGCAGGTGAGAGAATGGCCACTCTCATGTGCTTCTCTCTGTGGTCCCAGCGAGGTCTGGGTCTGAACAAATGGGGCAAAGGGCTCCAAAGAGTCAGGATTTCACATGGGGACCTGGATAAAGACAAAGGAAATGTGTGATGGTCTCATAAATAGTGATAACTGCAGGAGGAAGTGATACCGTTCTTAATGTTCATTTTATTCTGTGTGTGCGAGGGGATACGTATGATTTCTTTAATAGCGCCTTATCATGGGACTGCCTCACTCAGGGACATATAGAAGAATGGCAGAATTGCAAGGATTTCATGAGGGTGACATGAAGAGGGACTCTGGGGACCACGATTCCCCATTGCTGCTGCCCTCTTTTGGAAATTAGATATCGTTTACTTATTTATCATTTTTGCACATAGCATTGCAACTTTCCTGATTAAATTGCCTCGGGGCACAAGTACAAAATATGAAAGTTCAGTTAAAGTGTCTAAGACAGAAGAGCAGCAGCTATCAGCATGTATTAAATACGCCTCTACTGCAAAATGCCTCTTGCAAAAAGTGTGTCATCCTTGGCATCTGGAAATCTAGGCCTGTGCTGAGCCAAAGGAGAATTTCCACAGAAAACACCTTGGCAGTCAAAGTTAAGAACAGTCAGATTTGAGCATTGTGGTGTGTGTATGTTGTAGTGGTTATTCTCTCATGATAGGACTGTGGTAACTCATGAAAATAGCTCCTGTCCCAATTTCAGACCCCTCTATTTCATGATTTGTTATTTAGCTAGACACTTGGCGTCTACAAAAACCAGTTACCAAAGCCATCAGAACAAATTCTTCAAACCACTCGGAACTCAACTTCAGCACCATCCTCCTTTTTCTTTTCTTTTTAGAGATGGGGTCTCACTCTGTTGCCCAGGCTGGAGATACGATCATAGTTCTCAGCAGCCTCGACCTTTTGGGCTCAAGCCATCCTCCCACCTTGGCTTTCTGAGTAGCTGGGACCACAGGCATGCACCACCACACCCAGCTATATTTTTGTAGAGACAGGGTTCTTGCCACATTGCCCAGGCTGGTCTTGAACTCCTGGGCTCAAGTGATCCACCTGCTTTGGCCTCCTGGAGCACTGAGATTACAGTCATGAGTTACTACACCTGGCCCTTCTCCAACACAAAAAAAAGATTTTTATAGTATCAAATATTCAAGCCCTTCATTGTAAAAAGTTTCTGTTTGGTGAACAGACACCAGCAAAGGGGAAGGGTGATTGAGTGGCTGAGGATGGCTCCATGCCATTTTACTCCTCCAAGGACATTAGTTTTAAAGGTTGAAAACCACAGCCCTCCCAATTCACCCGGTGTTCAGTCTTTCCACTTCGCCTAGTGTCTCCCCATCAGAGCCAGCCCTTGAGTAAAGAAGAAAGAAAAAGGTTCATGCTTTTCCATTTAAATCAAACTCTACTTAGAAAGACAGGAGAAGAAATAAAGAGATGCCTTGTGTTCTATCCACCTACACAACCCACCCCCAGCCTTTCTCCTCCCATGGGCCCAGCAGCCCAAACATATTGAAGTCAGCATCAAGCTGGCACAAGAGGGGAAGAGGCGTTCGGTGTGAAGAGACCTGTGGATCCCATCTCCAAAACTCCAGGCACCTCCTACACTGACCAATGGCTCCTCGGTCTTCTGCACGCTGAGCTGCTGGGATTGGCCGAGAGGCCACAGAACACCTTGGACTCTATGATCCCAGAGAGAGGGGAGAGTGGAGTCCAGGTGGCACCCACTGCCCGAGCATCATGTTCGGTGGCTACCCTGAGTCATTGACTGAAGCCCCAGAGCTTCTCTGCAGGCATCCAAGGGGCGTATCTTCAGATCTTTTCAAATGTCAGAAAATGGCAACCGGGAATTATTATGCCAGCATTACCACGTTGGTTGTACGATCTAAGAAAATAACCACGTCACAACAAACTCATTATCCTTCCCCCCTGAAGTTCCGCACCCATGATGCACTTTTCTCATCACAGCTCTGTGATCCAGACCAACTCTGAAAAGAGCCGGACTCCCATGCCTTTGAAAAATGGGGTATTGGACCAAACCCCAAAGATAGGAGCTACAGTCGTGCATGGCTTCAGGGCTGGAGCCTCTTGAGGTGGAGGAGGAAATTATGAAAAGAGAAGAAAGACAGTGAGCGAGCAAGGAAGTCAGGAATGAAGGCTTCCAGCCATTGGACTCAGGAGAGGAAGTTAGAGCAGAATAGATTCCCGGAGAGTAGCTTTTCCTGGCAAGTCCCAGAGTCTCCACAGGGTGTTTCCTTCTCTATATAAATAGATACTTTAACATCTGTGCATGTCTGTGTCTATCTACATATATTTATTTATAAAGAATTAATGAGTATGAGATGGTCCAAAAAAAAAAAAAAAGAGGTGGGGGATTGTAGTTATTTAAGGAGCTGCTTTAAGTTTATTTTTAATCAGCCATTTGTATAATGTAATTATGGCCAATGGCCTTATAGGAGAGAAGTGTAGTTGAAAAAGGAAATTAAGCAAAGATAGAATAGATAAATGATGCCTGACTGTTTTTCACCATTTGGTCCATATGTAATTAATTTTCCTCATTCCTCCCGTAATCAGGCATCCAGAATTATCTCTACATTTTTAAAGGGCTCAGGTTTGCTTGTAGTAAAAGATGATGCTACAGAACAGATTGGTGAGTTGGTTCAGATGTCTCCATAATGGAAACACAGTCATAAAAATGCCATCACCTTCACATTGTGAGAAGATAAAATGCAATGCTCATCATGGATGAATGGTTACTCTCGTTCTGTCCTCGAGCCACAATCAATTGTACATCATTAACAAGACACAAAATCTTTACTAATTAGCTTTTATGATTATATTGTTATTGCATTGAGGCTTTTAAAGCATTGAAAATCAAGGAGATAGGATGCCCACAAAAGAGAATTCCGTGGCAAGGGAGGAAAATACAGTCCATCACTCATGTCATTTCAGAAACTTTCACTCTATACCATCTATAATTACCATCTATAATTTTTAGCTCAATTCACTGTTCAGATTAATATTTTTGGTAAATGAGTGACAACTGGTAAGGAGAGGGAGAAGAATATTGAGTGTGCTTTCACACCCAAAAGAAATTTAGCTGCTGAAGTTATCTAACAAGAATAATTGTTCATTTTCTCTTTGCTTGAAATCTTCAAGACTGCTGTTATAAATCCTACCTACACTTTCTTGTATATTGTTCTTCTCTAAGTGTAAAAAAATACAATTCACCCAGTTAAAAAGAAGTTAGAGCCATACCTTCCACCAGGATGAATTTCAAATGGATCAAAGACTTAAATGAAAAATACAAAATAATAAACTTAGAAGGAACCATGGGAGAATTCTTTCATGATATCAGAATGGGAAAGCCTTTTTGAAACCATCAGACAAAACCCAAAAGCCGTAAGAGAAAAATTAGATAAATTCAGCTACATTTTGAGAAATTCTGCTTGGCAAACTAAAATATACAGAACAAAAACATCACAAGCAAAGTAAAAAAAAAAAAATGACAAACCAGAAAAAAAATTTGTAATTCCTCTATTTCATAGGCCTGCTATTGAAAATATATCAAGGGTTGATACAAATCAAAATAGCAAATACTAGTAGACAAATAGAGAAAGAGGCAAAGGGTATGAATAATCATTTTACAGGAAAAGGTATTGAAATTATTTTAAAACATGTGAAAAGATGCATCACACACTCCTAATAAAGCAAATGCAAATTAAACTCCATCGTGATACCACTTTTTGATGATCAGATTGGCAAAAGTCAGAAAATTTGACAACAGATTGTGTAAATGATGGGGTGAGAAACAGCCTCCCCTCTCCCACTGTGGATAGGAGCATAAATTGGTACAAAATCTATAGAGGGCAATTTGGCAATTTATTTATTATTATTATTATTATTATTATTATTATTATTATTATTATTATTATTTTGAGATGGAGCCTTGTTCTGTCGCCCAGGCTGGAGTGCAGTGGCATGATCTTGGCTCACTGCACCCTCCACCTTCCAGGTTCAAGGAATTCTCCTGCCTCAGCCTCCCGAGTAGCTGGAATTACAGGCGCATGCCACCATGCCCAGCTAATTTTTGTATTTTTTTAGTAGAGGCAGGATTTCACCATGTTGGTCAGGCAGGTCCCGAACTCCTGACCTTGTGATCCGCCCACCTTGGCCTCCCAAAGTGCTGGGATTACAGGCGTGAGCCACCGCACCTGGCCAATTTGGCAACTTCTAACAAAATGTCAAATGTACCATTTTCCCGATCCAGCAATTCCACTTCTAGGAATTTGTCTCACAGACACATTTGTTCGAAAAGACTTATTTAAAAGTTATCTAATCCTGCACCGTTTGTAGAAGCAAATGGTAGAAAACATCCTCAACACCTGTCAATAAGGAACTTGTTAAATTATGAACCATCAATTCAATGGAATACTATGATTCTGTAAAGTAAAAATAATGATGTTCTTTACTGATTTGAAAACATTCCATAAGACATATGATTGAGTTTTTTTAAAAAGCAGCATATAGCAAAGAATACATAAATATGCTATATCTTTTGTTCCAAAGGGAGAAAAAAATAATATGCTCATGCATTTATCGTTTTAAAAAGATAAATCATAATCCACAGTTCTTAGGTCAACTGCCTATTTCAAAGGCTCCAAATAGCTTAGCAATTTTATTTCTGTGATCTTTCCTTCTGGTTTGAGCAATCTGTGTAAGGTTAAATGTGTATTTTTTAAAGTATAATTTATTGATTGCCTGCTAGGGCTTTAAATTTGTCATTCACCTCTCTTTAAACCTCACAACAACTGCCAGAAAGATGGTGTTCTCTCCATGTTATTGATGAGAAAACAAACTCAGAGGCAATAGGTAACCTGCTCAAGGCCACGTGGCTAAGAAATTGCAAAGCCGGTATTTGAACTCATGTCTTTCTGGAACTAAAGTGTGTGTGCTTCCCACTCAACCACACAGTGCGAGTATGCCTCGCCTGCCTTTGGGGGCCTCATGTGAATTGATGACTGATGTTTTCACCTCTAGCTGTGCATCAGGGACTTTGCAGCTTCCTGAAGCCCAACCCAGATCTATTGAATCTGACCCCATGAAATAGAGCTTTTGCATATGGTTATCTCAGAGCTCCTTGAGTGAGCCCGAAACACAGTTCAGAACCACTGCTACACAATGAAGCCATAATAGCACACATTCTCGACGTATGAACTCATTCAACCGTCAGCCACCTGTGTGGAGTAGGTACTGTTACTATAACCATTTCATGGATGCAGGAGCTCAGGCTTAGAGAGTTTGAATACTGCGCCCAGGTCACACAGCGAGTAAAGTGAGCTGGGGCTGAAATTTAAACCCAGATAGTCTGCCCCCAGAACCATGATTCATCATACTGTATTTTTAGCCACCCACTCCTCTTATATACAGCAATTTCAATAATAAGACAAGAACCAGACACTAGGATACTGTTGTAGGAAGATTCTGTGTTCATGCAGGTTGAGGTCAAAGGCATCACAGGGGTCCCTTCAAGTTACTCAAGAGGAAACGGAAGCTCCAAGAGGCAAAGCGACTTGCTAGCATCCCATGCCCGACCACAATAGTTTAAACACTAACCCGAGCCCCCTGGTTCCTGCTAGGTCGATCACTGCAAATCAAGTCATCATTTGGAATTGTTCAGACTTAAGTCAGGAAAGATTACACTTGTTACAAAGAAATGGAGAAGAAAGGGCAACCAAGAGTCCATTTGCCCTGGCTTTTAAATTCGTCTTATATGGATGGGTCTGTTTACAGATATTTTTATAGCAACATCCTTCTTCTGTTTCTCCTCTAAGTTTGATGGGGAGCTTACTGAATGTCGATACTGAGTTATTTTCCTTTATTGCTGCCACAAAACTACCCTTAATAAGAAGTGAAAGAAAGAAGAATGGAAGCTTATGGTATCTCTGCTCTATTTCTTCAAGAGAGTGCCATAATCAAAATGTTAGGGCTTTAAAATGCTTTTCTGGAGAAAATGCTTTCCTGTCACGAGGGGGAAGTGTTCCAGGTACTTTATTGGCTTGCATATTTCTCTCCCTTTTTAGCAGTTATTTTATCCTGGGTGGAGGCCATCAGATGGCCACAATTTTGGAAGCAGCCCAGACTTGGATCTAATCCTGTTTCTGCTGCTTTTAAGCATTGTGACCCAAAGCACTTTCTTACCTTCTCTGAACCTCACTGTTAACTTCTCTACCATAGTGTTAAATAATACCCACTAGACAGGTCTTTGAGGTGATTCAGGGAACTGCCATATGCAAAGGGACCCGCAAAAGTGGGTTGCTGGCTGGGCACAGTGGTTCAAGCTTGTAATCCCAGTGCTTTAGGAGGCCAAGCCGGAGGATTGCTTGAAGCCAGGAGTTCAAAACCAGCTTGGGCAACATAGCAAGATCTCTGTCTCTACAAAAAGAAAAAAAAATTTAATTAGCTGAGTGTTGTGGTGTGCACCTATAGTCCCAGCTATTTGGGAGGCTGAGGCTGGAGGATCACTTGAGCCCAGGGAGTCAAGTCTGCAGTGAGCTATGATTGCACCACAGCACTCCAGCCTGGGCGGTAGACCAAGACACCGTCTCTTAAAAAAAAAAAAAGAAAAAAAAGTGATTTGCTCAAAGTGGGTTGCCCTTGATTTCAGGTCCTCTTAGAATGAGCCTAACGCTGCTTCCTATAACTCCAATGAGTGGCCCCACCTCTGACATCTAAGCACTTCAGGATCAAGTGTAGACTCTTGCACAAGGGAGCTCTGGAAGTATTTAGAGGCAGCCACCTTCTCCTCTAATCCTCTCTTTGCTGTGCCTCTCTGGAGTTCCTGACATTTCCGCAAATAAGTCTTAGTCTCTTTACCATTTAACCAGTTTCCCACTAATTCACTCAAACCGATTTATGTATTTAGATATGACCTCAGGTGCTGGTAAAGTTATTGAAAGAAGTACATTACAGGTAATGGTACATTAGCGCTGTGATTGAATTAACATTCTCTTTGTGCATGTGTCTCCTCTGGGATTCATTCGCTCTCGCTGAAGGATGATCTCAGATGCCTTCTGTTTGAATGTAAGAGGATGAATTGATTCACCTGTGAGGCAATGTGAGCTAAGGCCAGAAGAAACCCTACTGGAATTAACCAGGATCTACTTTAAACAACCGTCAGACCACCAGGCATTTGTTCCATCGATTGCTTCAGTCTTTCTTTCTCCCCATCCCTCCCCTCTCCCTAGATAGAGGGCAGAGAGGTCAAAGTCAGTGGGCAACCTCTTACCTGAAGAACACGTTCAGGATCACTTCTGTGCTCCCGATGTAGTAAAATGACTCATAATTGGCCAAATTCTCCAGCTTCTCCTTGCTCACATGTCTTCAAAAGAGTTGGTAGCTGGTGAACAGAAACTGGTTTGAAAGTCAGGACAAACACGGGCCCTTTAACTCACAAACCACGTTTTTCATCGGTTTTCCCCATCTTCCTAATTGGGATCACATTCTCTGCTAAGTCTTCTTCTCACCATCCCATGGTGAGATGATATGAAACTAAGCACTTGAATCACTTCAGATTGTTTCGAAGAAAATCATTTTATGTCACCATTTTTGTTATGTGTTTCAGAGGAGCGCTATGACTTAAGGAATGTATATGAAATCTTCACCAGGTGGAGGGTGAAGTAAGCAAATTAAATGTGAGTGGTTCTTTAGGCGTAAGTAAGTGAGTCTAGCAGAAAGCTCTATTTCATCAAAGAAATGTTTAGACTAAAAGCGTGTATTGGTCTCTTCTCTGTCCATCTGTCTAGAGAGAAGGGTGGATAAAGGGAATTTGACAAGTTTCAACAAGAAAGAAAAACTTGCTCAAGCATGAGGGAGAGGTTTTGCTGAAATCTGTGCTTGGCTTTTTCCCAGAAATATCACTTTTCCTGGGCTTTGCAGCTGAATTCTCTGGGATCTATCCTCAGAAGTCCTGTGCGTCCCAATTCATCTGCTTTTAGAATGAACCACATTTTAAAAGGGGAAAATAGAACAAACGGTGGAGTCAGGGAGAGGGAAGTGAGAAACCCAGCCATCTGCCCAAGATATTTTGCACCCCAACTTGGGATTCTCCAGAGCTAGCACAGGGAATGTGGAGCATTATGGAGAAACTGTGACAGAGGGCCTCTGAGTTGGAAAGCTGCTGCTCTGCCCTCATTTGGAGGCATCCTCTCGTGTTCTACCTCTCAACTGTGTTCGAAAACCAACAAAGATGGCTGGGCATGGTGGCTCAGAGGTTTGGGAGGCCCAGGCAGGACGAACACTTGAGCCCAGGCGTTCAAGACCAGCCTGGGCAACAGAACAAGACTCATCTCTAGAAAAAATTTAAAAATTAGCCAGGCATTGTGGTGAGTACCTGTAAGTCCCAGCTACTCAGGAGGCTTAGGTAGGAGAATAGCTTGAGCCCAGGAGTTTGAAGCTGCAGTGAGCTATGATCACACCACTGCAATCCAGCCTCGGTAACACAGCGAAGCCTAGTCTCTAAAAAAAAAGAAAAAGAAAACAAAGAATAGGGCCACGACAACATCACAAGGTATGTATGTATGGCGCTTTGGTTGACATTTACAAGATAAGGCTAAAACATTTTTTCAGTATCAAGAAGTCTTGGATCCAGGCTGGGCACGGTGGCTCACACCTGTAATCCCAGCACTTTGGGAGGCCGAGGTAGGCGGATCTTTTGAGATCAGGAGTTCAAGACTAGCCTGACCAACATGGTGAAACTCTGTTCTACTAAAAATACAAAAAAATTAGCCTAGCGTCGTGGTAGCTACCACGCTACCAAGCATGGTGGTAGCTGTAGTCTTAGCTACTCAGGAGGCTGAAGCAGAAGAATCACTTGAACCTGGGAGGCAGAGGTTGCAGTGAGGTGACATCGCGCCACTGCACTTCAGCCTGGACAACAGAGTGAGACTCCATCTCAGAGAAAAATAAAAAAGTCTTGGATCCATTTTGATGCCTTTTGTGGCACTTCACATGAGGAATCTGTGCTTATCAGTTATCAAAGTAAGGAAGACTTTATTATGAGCCACTAGTTTCTATATATGGTGTACTCCCTTTAATGACAGACTGATCATCTTCCACAAGTATTTACCCAGCATTTTAAACACTTTGAGTTCCGCTCAGAAGAAAACAACTTTCAAAAAATTTTTTCCATGCATTTTCCAAGGGAGAATGATAAGGTTTCAACTGGGTGACTTGTCCACCATGGAAAACCAAACATGGATGGCAGGGATGTTCTTGAATCTGCAGCCCATGTTGGTTAGTGCAGCCCTACTTCCAAAGCATGGAATATGCTTTCAGAAAATGCATATTCTATTTTTCCTCCTTGCATCTTTCTGGTCCTTCTGCAGAAGGTGCTGTCACCGTGTAAGTATTGCCTGGCCTCTTCAGAGACACAGAATGACCCCATACCCCACAGGAAATGACCTTAGATTATTTCCCTTTGTGGAAAATGTGTCTGGTTGAAAATGTCTTCTGGATGAGAAAGCATGGGGTAGGTGTGAACCGTTACAACATTGAATTATCGTTTTCCTTTTCAATTAGCACCAGTCACTGCCACCTTGTGTGACCAAAACTGAAAAAAGATTTGCATCAACATGCTTTTATTCCAGCACTGTGGTTATCAACATAAGCATCAGCTTTCAGGGTTCCTGCTACAGACTTTCAAACTCTCCAGCCACTCAAGATGGCATTACACTGCAATTGGGATGTCACAGCCGGATAGTACGCTTCCTAGGCGACCATTCTTTGGTGGTAGACCCCTCCCTGGGGACACTGGAACTCAACAGGCATCCGCTCATTACAGCTGGTGAGCTTTCTGTTAACAGTGCTGCAAGAACAAAGGTGGAGGCATTGAAGCAACTTGTGCTTCTCTCCTCATTGCAACCCACCCTTGTGGCAGGAAAAGTCTTCTTGATCATTCAAACCACTTGAAGACAGCATTCTTCTTCAGGAATTGAACTGAATGTGCTGCCATCCTAGGCAAAAACTCCCAACTGACTGGTATTCACATTTTTGGTCCAGTACCCATCCTGTAGAAACATTATACTGTTAAAGCTAGTTGTTAGAACATTCTGTCAGATAGAAACATTTATTAGTTGATATAACCATGCTTCACTGGGCATAGTGAAGACTGAGGTTCGTCAGGGTGACCTGGAGCCCATAAAAAATTCTGAAATTTCTTGATTCATCGGAGAAAGATTAAAATATGTTCAGTGTTGTTTTAGTGTTAAGTGTATTTTATTGTATTGCGTATCTTGCAAATTGGTAATGCATACCCAGTATTTTTAATAACACTCTATTAAACAGAGTATTTGATTTGACACGACATCCCATTTCCTAACAGAGCAGGGCAGCAGAGACTTCTTATCAGAGCTGGCTGGTTGTTTAGCTCAAGGCAGAGTTAGGTGATTCTAACATGTTATAGCAAACCTAATAGGTATGCGTTAGAATCTGCCTCCTTTTTTCTTTTTAACTGGGCATTAGCTTTGTACATTTCAACACAATAGGCACATTTAGAGTCACATTGTAACTAGCCGTGCCCCTAGACGGAAGCTTCTCTGCTCCTAAATTTCTCAAAGTCCAGCATTCTCTTTGGCTAAAAGGTTAAAGAGGACATGAGGATGAGACGGCTGTCATTGCTTTAATATTTCTCCCTGTTTCATTAGCACAGCCCCCAGCTGCCCAATGCACTTTGAATTCCAATACGGACTTCTTACAAGTAATATTTTTTGGGTCAGAAAAGGCCAAAGAATTAATTTGAAATTGGAAGGCATCTGTTGTTCTTTTTCCTAAAAAAAAGAGAAGAGGTAGGTTCTTTAAGTAGGTGAGGGGATTTGGAGTAGGAAGATGCAGTAATGATTTCAAGTTTTAAAGGAGACCCAAAGGAAAGCTGACCTCATTTTATTGGCAGAAGATTACACTGTGTATTTATAGTTTGTGATATTGACTTCCTGAAGAGAAAAACTAAAAATGTATTGTGAAATGTTACCATATTAAAGTAAGGAGTGGGTGATATTCTCATCCAGGTGAATTTCTTGGTTTTAAAAATTAAAACAATGGTCTCAGTAACACGGAAGATTTTGTTTAAAAAATGTTTGTAGGCCAGGTGCGGTGGCTTACATGCCTGTAATCCCAGCCCTTTGGGAGGCTGAGGTGAGCGGATCACGTGAGGTCAAGAGTAAAAGACCAGCCTGGGCAACATGGCAAAACCCCATCTTTACTAAAAATACAAAATTAGCCGGGTGTGGTAGTGGGCGCCTATAATCCCAGCTACGCAGGAGGCTGAGACATGAAAATGGCTTGAGCCCAAGAGACGGGGCAGAGATTGCAGTGAGCCAAGATGGCACCACTGCACTCCACCCTGAGCAACAGAGCAAGACTCTGTCTCAAAAAAAAAGAAAAAAAAAAAGAAAAGAAAGTTTGAAATCTTTCCCACATTATTTAATTTTGGCTTCTGAAGTTAATCTTTCATTGTCTTCCTGGATATACATTTTCCTTTTCCTTCCCTCAGATCTTTTTTTCCCACCTAAGTATGGATGAAAACCAAAAAACTAATCTCAAATTAACAAAGGCTGTCCTCTTACAGCCAGGTGCGGTGACTCATGCTTGTAATGCGGTACTTTGGGAGGCCAAGGCAGGAGGATCACTTGAGGCCAGGAGTTCAGGACCAGCCTGGGCAACATTATAGGAGACCCCATCTCTACAAAAAAAGAAAAGAGAGAGGGAGGGAGGGAGGAGGGAGAGAAAGAAGAGAGAGAAGAGAAGAGGGAGAGGGAGAGGGTGAGGAGGAAGACGAGAAAAGAAAAGAAAAAAGAGGGAGGCTCTCCTCTCTCATTTTCTCATTTCTAACCCGCAGGTGCCATAGCACCACAGCACCACAGCACCACATGGTAGAGGTTTCAGACAAAACCAAATGGGATGCTGGGTACAGCACCATCTCCCTGCCCTGTCTCCTCTGCTTTCTGTGGCCACTCACAAAGCCACTACTTGTTATAGGATAAGACCAGAATTCTGCCCTAAGGGGCTTTTGTGCTTGAAGTATCAAACAAAGTATACCATAACGAGAAATTTCCTCTTCAGCTAGGCATAGTGGTTCACACGTATAATCCCAGCACTTTGGGAGGCCAAGGCTGGGTAAGTGCTTGAGGCCAGGAGTTCAAGACCAGCCTGAGCAGCAGAGCAAGACCCCATCTCTACAAATAAAAAATATTAACCAGGCATGGTGGTGCACACACCCCTGTAGTCCCAGCTGCTTGGGAGGCTGAGGCGGGAAGTTGGTGTGAGCCCAGTAGTCTGAAGCTTCAGTGAGCCATGACTGGGCTGTTTCATTCCAGCTTGGGTGTTAGAGCAAGACACTGTCTCTAAAAAAATTAAATGTCTTTTTCAGCAACTAAAGAGAGGAAATGAAGGAAGAAGGGAGGTGACAGGGAAAAACTAGGAGAAAAAATGTGATATTTCTTCCCAGCCTCCCAGTGGTCACTCAAACCCTCAGCTGATGCTGAAGTCAATTCCATTTTGCTTGGCCATTTTCCATAGTGACCATATATTGCTTATGCTTTAGGAGTCATGTTTTCATCAAACGTGCAATGCCATCTTGGTAAGTCAAATGGATTGTATTTCCCCATAAGGAAATTCTGTTTTGTTTTGTTTTGTTTTGTTTTGTTTTGTTTTGTTTTGTTTTGTTTTGTTTTGTTTTGTGATGCAGTCTTGCTCTGTTGCCCAGGCTGGAGTGCAGTGTCATGATCTCGGCTCACTGCAGCCTTCGCCTCCTGGGTTCAAGCAACTCTCCTGCCTCAGCCTCCTGCCTCAGCCTCCCGAGTAGCTGGGATTACAGGCACACGCCACCACGTTCAGCTAATTTTTGTATTTTTTAGTAGAGATGAGGTTTCACCATGTTGGCCAGGCTGGTCTTGAACTCCTGACCTCAAGTGATCCACCCACGTTGGCCTCCCAAAGTGCTGGGATTACAGACATGAGCCACCGTGCCCAGCCAGGAAATAGTTTTATTCAACCCTGAAAAAAATCTTCTCTTATATTTCACACTTGAGGCTGTCATCTTTAACCTGCTCTTCTTAACGGGGCCTTTAACGTCTCTCACCACTGACGGTTAGAGCTTTCCGTGAAATTTGTCAGAAGTGCATGTACAAACAATCCACATGCTCAAAACTAGAGAAATGCATGTGAAGAATTGGAGGAGAATGCATGCTGCCCTGCTTTCACCTGACAGTGTGAAGTCTTTTCATAGCTCCCCTATGCCTGAGCCTGTATTTATGGGTCCATCCTGCCATATATTTGATATATATAAAATGATAAAGCAGCCTGTTAACTGGATTTAGTTTACGGCTTTTGAGCAAAAGTACCAAATTGAAGTCAGAGTTGGGTCCTTCATAGTTAAAGCCACCCATGTAAGGTGAAGAGAGGGGTTTATCCTCCTGAAATTGTCAGTATGGCCATGTTGATCCAAATCTAGATGCAGCAATGGATTCTCAGCCCATTCCCATTCTAGTATACGCATCTATGTCCTCAATGGAGATGCCTCAGGAACACATTTCCTGAGTTCTCTCCATATTCACAGCCGTCTAAAAAGATTCAGAAGGATTCTTTCATAAACTAGAATCTAAATCTAATATGATGTGCTCCCACTCAGCCTGAAAACATAAATCTGAATCAAAAAGATATTAGAATAGATATTATATTAGTACAATATTAGCATTATAAAGCATGGTCAATTAAAAAGGAAGAGCAGAGCACTATTAAGATAACACTATTTTGCAATTATTGGACAAGTTTGTAGTTAAACTCTCCTTTGAAAGCCATGGGATTCCTTTACCTTACAAGAGAAGTTCTGGAATCTTTTTCTCAGGCTCCCCTTTTGCACCCTCAGCATGGTGTTAAGGGTGAATTCGATCATGCTTCTAAAAGTGTTTATGTTTATCAGACTCCAGCACTCAAGAAATTGAAGCTATTTGGACTGATGTGATCAGTGATTAAGGGGGTAAACTGGCCACTTTTTGAAGGTGTTTTAACACTTTTGACCTTTAAGATGTCATCTCGTGCCTTCAAAAAGGTAATTTGCTAAATGGTACTTTTGTAACTTGAAAGAATTAATGACCACCAAAAGTGAGCAAATTATTTTCTTTTTCACTTTAAGGTCAGGCCTATGGAATTGTAAGTGAGGCCATCCACCTTTCAAAGGGATTTTATTTTATGTCATTTCAGCAACTTAAAAAATATCATTTCGAGAGCAGAAGAAAGCCTGGGGCTTTTGATTTTCTCTTGTACATTTTCAGATACATCTACAGAAAGAATAAGAAAACAGATTTTCTAAAATTTTAAACTGAATGTGAACCTTCTCATAGTGCCACTTTAGACCCAACAAAATCCTGAAACCTCTCATGCAGAAGCAGCGCAGCTCTTTAAACCAAGCAATAATAATAATAGAAACATCTAACTTTTATATAACATTTTAAACTTGCAAAATGCTTTCACATCCCACGATCTTACGGTGCCAGTTACGAATTAGCTATGAAGAGCTTTTTTCTGGTCAATGGGAAAATATTTCAGCTGGACATGAAAAAAACTCTTAGCCCTCACGGTGGTAATACTAGCATGGCTTAATGAAAAAAACTGTGCAGTCATTGTCTCTGATGATAAAACAGCATATTTACATATACAATTCAATTTACTCCAACCCAATTCTTAGAGTCCAGGGAAAAGAGGCTTTCCCTCTCGTTTCTCATTTGCTAGAAGAATATCTTGCCTTTCCATCATTATTATTTATTTGTAAGGCAAATGTTGAATCACATCTTGAATTGATAGAGGCCAATGAATATAGCCCTCTCTCTTGAATATCCTATGGTATGGTTTGACAGTAAGTTAATAACTTACTGTCCTTTCAGTTTTCTGTTAATTTCATGTGTGTCAGCTTCCCCAAAGTGCTTGAAAATTCTTAAAGACAAAATTCATTCTTGAGGCTATTTTTGGATTCTCCCCAGGGACAAATCACATGTAGGACACTTAAAACAGCTTTAATTGATCTGTGATTAACATAATTCCTGGCCTAAAGATAGTAGATACATTCGATCCCAAACTTGAGCATGGATTAGAATCACCTAGAGGTCTTGTTGAAATTCAATTCTGGGCCTGAACCCCAGAGTTTCTGATGTAGTCATATGGAATGAGGCTGAAATCTGCATTGCTAATGATTCCCAGGTGATGCTAATACACTTTGAGAATCATTAGAACAAATAAATATCATCCAAATTGTATTTGATGATATTTAAGATTTCTATCCATTTTAAAGTGGGATATAAGAGCACAAAATATTATTCATAGAACCAAATACAGTCAAGGAACTCAATGCTAAACCCACAAGTTAAAAGACCTAAAAGAACCCAAGCTGAGCTCCAAATATATCAGGCTATGAATGAATAACTTTAACTGATTAATGAGAATAATAATAATTTTCTAAATGAGGCTGTATCCCACATCATTAGCACAGTTATTACCCAACTTATGAATGGATCATATTCCACAGTGTATTTGGAATCTGATGTTTGGAACTCAAGTGTGTTTTGCCATACATAGAATGACTGTGACAAGCAATGGTCACAAGTGTCTCCCTAACACAAAATATTTCTAATATTGCCACGGGCCCTACTTACTGTGCTTCCAAAGGGAAAACTTTAGGATTTACTGCTATCCAGCACCACCCACTAAAGTGGGGTACCCAGATAGGAGAACAGGGATGGAGGAGATGGTGAGTTTTGGTTTACACACCTTACATTTGAGTTTCCTTTGCATGTCCAGGCAGTGTCCACGTGCAGCACTCTGAGAATGTGTATCTTGCATAGTCCTGCCTCCTACAAAGCCCACTCACACAACCCCTTTGCCCTCTCCCTTTGTTAGCTAGTGACTGGGGAGACTCCAATGCTGCTTTTCTTCCAGAGCTGGGTCAATGAGTGTGGTACAGTGGAGCTGAAGAGCTCGGGGATAGCTGTGTGCCCTGTAATATAAATGGCTGAGGATATTTTTGATCTCTTTCTCTATTAATGTCTTTTCTTGCTTCCGGAGTTCCAGGCATGGACAGTCCTGCTTGGATATTTTAGCTTTTGGCAACTACAGCTTTGCTCCCTCTCCCACCTTCTCCTCTGGGCTTCCTACCATACTCTAACCCTACCATTTTCCTTTTTTATGAAGATTTGCAAAGGATTTGTAGCTGATAAAGATGGTGCTTGGGACACACATTCTCCTTCCTTTCTGGAGGAAATCTAAATGCCTGGAGCTGAGCAGGTGTTTCATGTCGAGAAAGAGAAGAATATCTGGGGATAGGGCATTAAATGATGAGAGGACCAGGATAAGGAAACCAGAGGCTGGCCTGAATCACTACAGTAAGTCAGTGAGTTCCCAGCAGTCCTGTATCCCCGTGCCCCGGAGCCCAGGTCACCAGTAAGGTCTCTATCATTGTGAGGTAAGGGACAGGTGAAGAAAGCAATCATTACCAGCAAATCAGAAAGTAAAACGAATTCCTGTAGCCACTTGACTGGAATAGTTTGGGATGAACCAGAAGAGTTATTTGAAGTGAAATGCCTGAATGGATTTCATTGATTACCAATTCATACCCTTGTTAAAAGAAAAATTCTAGACAAATTAAATTTAACAGAGTTTAATTGAGCAAAGAACAATTCGAGAACCGGGCAGCCCCACGAACAAAAGTACCAAAGTAGGTTCACGGAGACTCCGGTGCTGCCACGTGGTCAGAGGGTGTTTATGGACAGAAAAAGGAAAATGACCTACAGAACGTGGGAGGGAGGCACAGAGACAGCTGGCTGGGTGACAGCTGGGCATTTGCTTTATTTGAACAGTTTGAACAGGTGACCGCCTGGGATTGGGCTGAAACTCAATGGTTGGTACGAGAGTAGGTTCCAGTCTGTTTACACATCTGGTTAGGTTAGAGGTCACTATATAGGAGAAACTTTTAGGCTGAACTTAAAATATATAAGGAGGCCGCTTTAGACTAGGCTTGACTGAACACTTTCCTACTCCTCATTTTCACATAGAATTACAGACTGTGTTAGTCCCAGTACTTTGAGAAGTAGGCATCGAGAGGGAAATAAACATGCAAGGATTTCATTCGGGGGAAATGCCTGTATGAGAAAATGGGGTGGGAGCCAGAAAAGGCGGGGAGGGTGGTGAGGCCACAATACATGTGTGACCCTGAGTGCAGGAAGGTGGGCGCCAGCCTCCTAGTTTGCCGTGCAGCCTAAGAAACATACAGCAAGGCTGCTGGAGGGGCCTCGGGCTGAACGGGCCTGCCTTAGTGTTCCTGCCACCTTCAATCAATGGCTGGAAGCTCCCAGTGGGAAGCAAGACCTGGGAGCAAATACACTGATGGATTTCAGAGCCCAGCAGCTGGGGCCCTGGGTCAGCCATGACTGGAGTTCGGCCAAGGGTATGTCCTCCACATAGACAGATAGCCGAAGTGTCTTGGGACAAATGTAAACCTAACAGTTGTGCTTTGCAATGGGGATGCTGTAATATGAGTTATTAAGGTAAGCACACACACACACACACACACCCCATTTTATTATCTCTAGTACTGAGGGAGAAAAAAATGTAAGTTATTAAAATCCAACAGGACCTGAAATCTGTACTTTAAGCCTAGAGTTTCAACCCAGCCCCTCTGGGTTGGTTTTAAGAACTGGGAAGGAGCAACAGGAACTGTCTAGTCCTCACTTTTTTCTCAGAGGTTATAGAAAGGTCAACAAAACGCACAGGGTTGGCCACCAGAGTTGATAAGGGAGGGCTGGGAAAGAGCCCCAACTCTGCTAAATCATCAAGAATTGACAGCGCATCTTTTTTTTTGTTCATGATTGCCAAAATGTTTATTGTTTTGACCCAGAAAAAAATTCTTGGCTTGTAAATTTGGAGCACCTAGTTTTTCATTTTCTATAAACAATCTGTGTTCCATTCCACTGGGTGGAATGCGTGATGATGTTTAGAATACCAGCTGCCACCTAGCAATGTTCCCAAAGTTAAATATGCGTATATCATGCTGTATTTTAAATTATGTAAATAATTTGCTTTCTGTTTCTCCTGTTGTCGAAATGGAGAAATGAGCACTTATTGTTTCTAAAACCCAATGAGTATTGTATATTTTATTGCTGTCTGTGTGAAGTGGGAGTGTACAGGGAGCAGGGTTTCTTTTAGATGACTTTTGAAAAGCGTAACTAATATAAAGATTCCAGTAAGGACATATGTGCATTGTATTCTAATTGTATTGCACTTCACTCTGTGTTCTTATGGGCTTAAAATAATGTATAGCAAAGATAAGAGTATATTAATGGATTTTACTAAAAGTGGTGAAAAGAAAAAAAAAAACATTCATTTATCGTGGTGGGACCATTGCTTCATGCTCAATATTACTTTTCCTGGCAAAGAATCCATAGACTAAAGGTCAAACCATTATGGTTATGGATAAAGTTGTTATTCATGATGTTTAAGGAGATACATTTCTAATGACTGGAGCTAAAATGAATAATAAGTTATAATGACTCTAAGAATAACAGGCCTTTTTTTCTTGTTCAAAATGAAAATGCACTATCTAGTTCTAATAATGTGCAAATGGGATGAACAAAGACCTTGCTTTTTCTGATAGGGATAACAGCTAAGATTATGATTGCGATGATGATTATGACAAGAGTATCTGGGGACAACTTCAAAATGTGGGACTTGGAATACAAAAATTAGCTGGGTGTGGTGACATGTGCCTGTAGTCCCAGCTACTCAGGAGGCTGAGGCAAGAGAATCACTTGAACCTGGGAGGCGGCGGTTGCAATGAACCAAGATTGTGCCATTGCACTCCAGCCTGGGCAACAGAGCAAGACTTTAAAAAGTCTGAAAAAAATAAGTGGGACTTGGGCAAACCCCAAAAAGTATGGAGTGAATTCCACTAAGTCACAGGTTGGGGGTAGGCATTAAGGAGAAACATCAGGGGTGAGTGATCTCTAAGAACTGTGACTAGGAAGGGCTTCCAGTAGATGGAGAAGGCATATTTTATCATATGAAATGGAGACTTAGCCCTTAAGTAGATTAATTGTAGATTAGTCTGTCTCTTTAGTTTACATACCAATAACAAATAAACTATAAACATCCCCGTTGTGCTACACATACAAAGATACACACAATATTGCATTCCTTCTCCCTGTTTCTATCTCCTTCTCCCTCCCCTCCCTCTCCCCTTCCCCATTCTCTGTCATTGTGCACACTTATTATTCAGGCACTACACATAAAGGAAGGAATGGTCTGGATGTTTCTTTGCCTCAGAATACATATCAAATATAGATGCATTCCCTAAAAGAATAGATCTAAAGTCATGTGTGGTTACTTGAGCTCTATTTCCATACAAGCCTTTCCCACATAAACGAAGGTGTTTATCCCTCATGTCTGTGGCAATTAAAGAGATGTAGATTTAAGGGTCCTGCTTCATCTATAGGAAGTTGGGTGGTGCTGGTGTCATAGTTTACCAATGTACTACCTAATACTTGTTGTTTAAACACTTAATTTGGGATGGGGAGGAACTTTCTCTTTCTGATAGGGAAGACAAGGATGCTTCACCAAGCCATGGAGGGGGGCGGCTTCTAATGGAAATAACTACAATGACATCTTTAGAACTGGGTAATTTCCATTTGTGTGATGTATTTATTTATTTATTTATTTATTTTTGAGACAGGGTCTCACTCTGTCACCCAGGCTGGAGTGCAGTGGCGCAATTTCGGCTCACTGCAGCCTCCTTCTTGCAGGGTCAAGCAATTCTTCTGCCTCAGCCTCCCGAATAGCTGGGATTACAGGTGTGCACCACCATGCCTGGCTAGTTTTTGCTTTTAAGAGATACGGGGTTTCACCATGTTGGCCAGGCTGGTCTTGAACTCCTGGCCTCAAGCGATCCGCCCACCTCAGCCTCCCAAAGTGCTGGGATTACAGGTGTAAGCCACCAAGCCCAGCCAGTGTGATTTTTTTTAATATGATTGGCTGAAGGATTAAAGTGGAATGTTAAAGAGGAAACCCATCGAAAAGCTTTTGTTGATGCAGCCTGCTTAGAACAGAAATGGTCTGTAGAAATGTCCTTTGGATGCATCTAAATCCCAGTATTCACATTTGTTCCAAAACCAAGAGATAGCTAGTGAGTTCTTGCTTTGAATTGCACAGACCTGCAAAACCTTTAAAATAATTGTTTCTAAAATATTACCCAAAGCACTGATTATTTCACATCTTTAAATGGTAAACAGTAATCACTGATAACAATTCTCATTTTCTTTCCAGATCCTGGTCTTGTAGAAATCCTTGACTCACCTCTTCATTCCAAATTAGCAAAATGAGCAACATGTAATTTTTTTTATCTACAGGATTTGGGTTTGTTCTGACTTGTCTAATTACACTCTTCAATTCACCAAAAGTAGACTGTGTGTTTCATTAGTCTCCTTTTCTTTTTTTGGATAGAAAAAGAAAACTTTGTTTTCTTTTCTTTGTGTAAGTTGAGATATAGAAAGTCAAGTAATTTAAAATTCAAAAAAAAAAATCCCATAGTCAATTAGACATCCTATCCCATGGAACTGATGACATTGAATGAAGGGAGTATTATAATAGCTAAAAGTGAAAAGTGCTAGAATTCCGATCCTAAAAGTTGTTTTTTGGGTGTACTCTGTTTTTTAGCCTCTCTCAACTCCTTCTCCTTGGGCTCCCATCCCTTTGGAGTGGCTTTCGTTCCCTGCCTCCTTGTCATATCTGCTTCTCTGGCTGCTCCTTCCTGGTCCAAGTCAAAGGCTGCCTCTTGGAAGGAGCTCTGCCCTGTCCTCCCAACTAGTGTGAAGCTCTTGCTCCTCTGAGTTCTCATAGACAGCTACTTTCTTTTTATACAAGCACACCCCATATTCTGTCTTACTCTTGGTTCCTCTCCATAGCTTCAGTGCCTCTGTTGAGCACGTACGCTTCCACCTCAACCCCCCTCACCTTATACATTTTTGGCTCTTCTTTCTCTCGCTCGCTCACTTGCTTTTTCTATCCAGCCTATAAATTTGCAAAATGCTCTGCCAATCCTGAGATGTCCAACTCATGCTGCACCCACCCTAGTTACCAGCCTATGTGCCTGTCCTTCCTTTCAAACCCAAGTTTCTGGAAAGAGTCATCCACATGCATGGTTTTGTTGTTGTTGTTGTTTGTTTGTTTTTGTTGTTGTTTTGTTTACAGACAGAGTTTCGCTCTGTCGCCCAGGCTGGAGTGCAGTGGTGCTATCTCAGTTCACTACAAACTGTGCCTCCCAGGTTCAAGCAATTCTTGTGCCTCAGCCTCCCAAGTAGCTGGGACTACAGGCACCCACTACCGTGCCTGGCTAATTTTTGTATTTTTAGTAGAGATGGAGTTTCACCATGTTGGTCAGACTGGTCTCGAGCTCCTGACCTCAGGTGATCCACCCACCTCGATCTCCCAAAGTGCTGGGATTACAGGCATGAGCCACCATGCCTGACCCATGCATGCTTTTCACATCTTCTTTTCTTTTTGTTTTTATTGAGATATAATTGGAAAATAAAATAGGTATATAATTAAGGTATACAACATGATGTTTTGATACACATATACCATCCTCATTTCTTCTTAGTGAATCTGTTGCTCTTTTTCAGTCAGTTCATCTTTACTACTCCACTGAAACAATATTGGTTGATAGAGGTAATCAATGTCTTGGCAATTGTTAAAATTTAGCCTTTATGGAGTCCTCATATACTGGATTTCTCTGTGGCACTGAGCTCACAGACAATTTCTTATTCAGGGAAACTCGCTACCTAGGTTATCCCAAAGCATGCACCAAAGAACACAACTTTTGAAGGATATGAATAGGTTTTATAGAAAATGAAGAGTTCTGTGGTTAAATGATTTTAGGAAGCTCTACATATCATCATCCCCTGTAAAAATTCACAATAGAAATTAGCAAGCTGTTTTGCTTTAACCTGGAAAACTCATCTTATTTAAAACTAGGAATATCCTCTGGGTATTCCCTCTGGGAAATGCTGCTCTTCAAACTTGATTTCCCCATCCCTCTCGTCTCCTGGTTCTCCCCCTACATCTGTCCTTGTAATTCTCCTTTCTCTTGGTATTTCTCAGCTTTCTGCTTTGACCCACTGCTCTTCTTTCTATATATTTACTCCCTGGCTGAGCTCATCTCTCTTACGGGTTCAACCGTCTTCTACATATTGATGATTCTCAGTCCCGGTCTCCATGACTGACCTTGCTGTGTCCTTCAGGTGCACATATCCAGTTTTCTCCTCTGCCTCCTCACCTGGCTGCTCCTGGGGCACTTCAAACTCAACGAGCCTCCAACTCACAAGGTCACGTCCACTCACACCCTTCCTTTTTGATCTGTTCCTATTCTGAAATACACAATATCCATGAGTGGCCCTCAGAGAGCTACCTTCCTCAGAAAACATGGGGACATGGTAGATTTTGCCTGTGTCTTCCCTCCCTACATCATCAGCACTACAACGAAGGCACAACAGGATGATCACATGATAGATGGAAAGATGTGAAGGGAGGGTCGAGATGTTTTTAATGGCAAAGAATGTGAAACCCTGAGGAGAATAGTTAAAGCAGAAGGCAGCCGGGCACGGTGGCTCACGCCTGTAATCTCAGCACTTTGGGAGGCCGAGGCGGGTGGGTCACTCACGGTCAGGAGTTCGAGACCAGCCTGGCCAACATGTCAAAACCTCGTCTCTACTAAAAAATAAAAAATTAGCCAGTCTTGGTGGCGTGCACCTGCAGTCTGGGAGGCTGAGGCAGGAGGATCGCTTGAGCCCAGGAGGCAGAGGTTGCAGTGAGCCGAGACCACACCACTGCACTCCAGCCTGGGGGACAGAGGGAGACTCTGTCTCAAAAAAACAAAACAGAAAACAAAAAAAGCAGAGGGCAGCAGCACATACTCTTAGGGGATATGACTCCTGGGTCCCAGCACCCCACGCCTGACATCCCACCTCAGCAGAGGCAAGATTTCACTAAGTGTAAGAGCTTTGTGGCATTTTTAGAGTGTTATACCCCTCACGCCCACCCATGCCAGGTTCTCCTGCAGACCACGCTTAAAAGCCTGCCTACTCACCATGTGGAAGAGGCAGGGCGTGAGTGGGAGGACCAGTTGCCAGCTCTTTAAAGATAGCCCTGATGTAATACACAACAGCATGACCCAGAAAGTCTCACTCAAATGCCTAGGCTGGACTGCAGTAGCTCAGTCATAGCTCACTGCAGCCTCAACCTCCCAGGCTTAAGCCATCCTCCCGCCTCAGCCTCCTGAGTAGCTGAGAGTACAGGCATGTGCCACCACACCTGGCTAATTTTTTTTATGTTTTGTAGAGATGACATCTCATTCTGTTGCCTGGGCTGGTCTCGAACTTCTGCGCCCCAACTACCCTCCCCCTGCAGCCTCCCAAAGTGCTGGGATTACAGGCATTAGCCACCCTGCCTTGCCAATGTGACTCAGGTTTTCCTTTGAGCCCCAGGGTCCTGCTGCCTTGCTGATTTGGGGTTTTACTTTCCAACTCCATTTTTGGTACCTTTCCCCCACATCATTCTAATTTTTCTAATTAGATATTCAGTAACTTCAGGGAAGCATAGATAAATGGAACATGGACTTTGGGGTCAGACACATCTATACCAGAATCTCAGCTCTCCCACTTTAGTTAGGGTGACTTTGGACATGGCATTTAGAATCCTTTGTAAACTGAGTATAGAAATATCTACCTTACAAGGGAGCTGTGAGGACTGAATGAGATAATTTATGATGTGTGCCGAGCACACAGTAGTTATTCAATAAATGGTGGTTAATATCATTTTTTATGTTAGATTCCTCTGTTTCCTAGGCCCATTCCTTCACTAGTATTAGCAGATCAACATATATAAAAGATACAGTGAATTATCTCACCAAAAGATTCTCATCTTAATTAAAAGTTTTCACATAATTTTCTCTCTAACTGTAGTTAGAGAGAGGTGTTAGAAACAGTAAGCCTGAAATTCAATACTTAGATAAATAGAAAGGACAAGGTATTTAGTGTCTCCATAAGATAGACTGGATTTGGGTTCTAAAGCCTCATTTGAGTCTCTTACATAATAAAAAATCTATGAAATGTAATTGATCAAACTCAAGGAGATGAAGAGTCATGCACTGACTCTGCCGGGATTAGAATTTCAGGTTTTAAACAGCCTAGGCTAGCAAACCTGAAGCTTACTTCACTAAGCCATCCCCTCTGGTTACGTGATTATGTATAGCAATTTACTATCAGTGAAAGGAGAAGAAATGCTTGCTGGCTGTATTGCTATTTTTCCCAGCCCCACCTCTCAACTATGGTATCGAAATTAAGTATATACCATCTTAGACACATTGAGCCCTGCCTGGTCAAATTCTCATGAACCAAGACTGAAATTAATTTTCAGCACACAATGCAGAGGTGAACTTCTGTTTTTATCATAAAGGAAGGCAAACCATAGAGTGATTTTACAGTGTCTTGACTCAAAAACCTATCTTCCCATATTGGCAGAACAGCATTGTGATATTTATCTGCAAATGAATGGTCCCTTGTAATCAACAGTAGATAAAGGCTGAAGAAGAATGACATCAATTCTTAGTTTTCAGGGATGTAGCCTCAGGAGCACAGGTTTTAGATTTGGATAGTCCTGGTGTCAAATGCTGTCTCTCACTTCCTTTGTGGCTATGTGACTTGGAACACATTTTTTTCTCCCAAGGCACAGTCTTGCTCTGTCACCCAGTCTGCAGTGCAATGGTGCAATCATGGCGTACTGCAGCTTCAACCTCCCAGATTCAAGCAGTCCTCTTGCCACAGCCTCTGGAGTAGCTGGGACCACAGACATGAGCCACTACGCCCAGCTAATTTTTTAATTTTTAGTAGACACGGGGTCTCATTGTGTTGCAAAGGCTGGTGTCAAACTCCTGGGCTAAAGTGATCCTCCTGCCTCAATCCTCCCACCTAGGTCTCCCTCAAAGTGTTGAGATTACAGGGGTGAGCCACTGCGCCTGGCCAACACATTGTTTAAATGATTGATTTTCTTTGATGAAAGATCCAGGGATCAGAAGTTCAAATACTTAATTTCCAATGTCAGGTCCACAAACTGACCACTCAGTTTTAATCTTCCTTACTTCTACAACTGGACCATCTAATTCATGGAGATCTTAGTACTTGCATTTGTGATATTCACAGACACTTGTAGGTGGTTGATTAAGAGGAATCTGATTATCATTTTAAGCTAGTATTTTTGCCTAGCTTCTAATGCTAAGCACATTCACATATATGGTGGAAGGCAGATGCTGATGATGCAGGACTGTGAGCCCCAAAGCTGGGCTTAACCCAGGCGGGTTCTTGGCTTCATTCAGGAAAGAAATCGAGGGCAAGCCAGTGGTGTGAGAGAGCAATCTTTTGTTGAACAGTGCTGCTCCTTGCAGAGCACAGCTGACTCATAGGCAACACACTAAGTCCTACTTGGCAATGGTATTTATACTCCTATAAACCCACTTTCAATTACATGCAAATTAAGGGGTGGGTCAATGGAAATTGAGGGGCAGATTGTTTAGAACTTTCTGGGAAAGGGGCAGTAACTTCCAGGTTGTTGCCCTGGAAAGGGGTGGTAACTTCTGGGTCTTTGCCTTGGCATTTGTAAACTGTCATGGTGCTGGTGGGAGTGTCTTATGCTAACAAGCAATGAGAGCATCTAGGGATGCCTTTTGTCACATCTGCTGGTTTCCACTGGTGTCTTAACTTCATCCCGTTTTATCCAGACACTGTTTTGGTCAGCAGGGTTGTGACCAGAAAACAGGTCCTGCACATCTCCTACCTCACTATTACTCCAATTCTGCAGATCAGGAAACTTGGGCTTGGATATATTCAATGACATTGCCAAAGTTACACAGTGGGTGATTTGTTGATCCAAGTCTAGAATGTGGGTCTTTTGACTGCATCAAATGCCTGTTCTCAGAACTACAGGGCTCTGTTGTAGACAGAGTCGTTATCTATCTGTGTATATCTTCATGAAATTAGTATGTCTCATTTCACGTCAGGCTTGGTCTTTTTTTTTATGTTAAGCCATTTTACCCTACTCTTTTTTTCATGCCTTTAGTTTCAGAGGGAAAACCTGAAGATCACCTTTCATTTTGCTCCTTTTTCTTGTCTTCCCCTTTCTGGGTTCAAGATCTGGTTCCATTTCTGATTCTCAGGTTCCTAATCAGTTAAAATGATACGATGCACCTAACAAGGCTTTGGAAATTGCAAAATGCTTATAAAGTATTGATGATCATTATTATGACTAAGCTTGCAATTCAAACCACAGATCTGTATTTGTTCATATTCAGTGTCATTTCCTTCACCTTTCAGGGTCTGACTTCCTGAAATTTCCCCTCTCTTCCCTCGAACTAACTCAAAATGCCGCTCACTTGCACCACTGGGCATCTCTCTTGTCCCCTGTCATGTGTCGTGTCTCATCATTGTGCATTTCCAGATAACCCTTCTTCTGCCTAAACGGCTCAAGCACAGACTTTTCTGCTGTCCCCATCACTGACTTATTTTTGAGTACAGATCCCACCTATATGACTGTGTCCCAGAAAGAAATTCTGACACCTAAAAGAGTTCCTGCTGGTTAATATCCTTCTGTCAGGAGCTCTGCCCTGATTTAGACCAATTCTTGACAGCTTCCCACGGGCAAACACCTGCAAAAAAAAACTGCCAGTAGCCACAGGTGGATTCCAGAACCTGAAGCTGATCTGAGTTTGAGAGCTCACGGATTCTTCCTGAAATTGTTTTGGAAAAGTGAGGGGAACATCAGCTCCCTGCAAGTCATTTTGTTATTCCAAGGGAACAAGAATTCAGAACATCTGTTGTTTCAGAGGTGTTTACACAGACACTTAGTGATGCTGCAGGTCCACGATGTTTGCCAGTTATTTCCAAATACTATATCAGCAAGAAGTATCTTTAGTCTTTGGGGGATATTGTACACAGCAGACACATTGTTGACATCTGGCAGGTTCATATGCAACCACTGAGATCTTTCAAAACAAAACTGTTGCAAAGGATATTTAAACCCAGAATGTCAGTTGGGAATAAAATGTTCCCTTCTTTGACTGTCTTTCCTGGTGTGAAATGTACAAATTTTAAAGATTAGAAATGAGTCAATTTAGATATTCTGAAACACAGAAAGAGAAAGAAAGCATTTTTCTGAATGTCATCCCCTTCTAAAATTATGGGGAAATCTTTGCAGTTTCTTTAAAGGAAAATGGAAGAATTTGGTACGTTTTGTACATTCTCTTCACTGGACTCATTCAGGTACATAACTGCCTTTCTGGCAGTTCACTGTCATGTGCCCTGGAATTGGATTAGGCTCAAATTCTGATTCTACCACTTCACAGCTGTGTGGTTCTGAGCAGTGTGTTTTAACAATTTGGGGCTTACAGTAAAAGGGGCATCTTGATTGTCCCCATCTCCTGGGATTGTTTTGAGGAATAAACATAATATGCACAAGAAGTTAAAACCAGTGCCTGGCACAGTAAATGTTAGCTCTTCTTGTGCTATTACATAGAAGTTAATATATGAAGAAGGAAGGTATTTTGTGTGTTTTGGGTTTGGGTTTTTTTTTGTTTTTTGTTTTTTTTTTTCCAGAGAAAGATGGTTAACATTAGGCAATTCTTTTCAGAAGTTGGTCACAGATTTACAGGAATGTGTCTATGAAATTACTGTACTTGACTCATCCTGAAATTACGTGATTCAAAAATCAAAGCAGAATGACTGCTCTTCTAGACTTCCCAAGACACTGGTTTTATGCCATTGTTCAGTTACGCAGAAAATGAATATCCAGTTTTAGCCTAATGCTTTGTACAATCCATCCTGTTTAACACTTTTGCTGCCTCTTACAGTTCTAATAATGTAAGTCTTGGTGGAGAAGGGAAACTATTCACCTGTGAATCCATCATAAAAAATTGGTGTTAAAAACCAGGGCTAGCTCAAGAGTTTTCATTTACATTTATGCTTTTATTGACGTCTTTGATTGGTAGCCAATTAAGATGGCAAGAACAGATATAGCCCATGTAGTACTTAGGTCTCTGACGTGGTTTGTGTGTTTTAAAGACATCAAGGTGATAGGAGATTGACAACTACATGTTAATCAGTGTCCAGAATAATTGGTAATGAAAACACAAAAGTTGTACTACACATGCCAAGAATGCAATAAAAACAACTTGAATTATTATAGGGGACACTGAAGCCATATCTCACAGTCATTAAGGAATGGATACGGAGAAGAATAAATTGGCAAGACTCAACCACTACCGATTATATGGTAGGCCAATACCCTAAGTTGCAAAACTGAATATGAAGAGAGAAGAAAACAGGCAGATCTTTGAAAACCCAGTGTCAAAACAATATCAGTATTACTGATGAATACTAGGAAAATTAACAAAAATACTCATAAGCAAGGAATAGCTTGATGGAAGCATATCCCATGCCTTTTTGGAAGTTAATAGCTAGAGAATTTGGGCTCCTTGGCAGGACTCAGTTCTGTGTTGACCTTGTAGCCCATTTGCAGGATTTCAGACTTCTTATTTCTAAAATCCTGAAAAGTGTTCCCCAGGCTTCCAGTTTCAGGGCCAGTTCTCTGCCCTTGGAGAATTCCACCCCTGCCTCTCATTCTCTGCCCCCAGGTTTGGCCACCATTTTCCAGGAGAGAAAGTGATTGAAACAGGAAGCCCAAGAACAAGGAAAGAGGAAGGGTAACTGGGGCCCCTCCCACACACCCACGTTTATGTATCAGGAGCGGTAACATTTCTATTCTCTTGACGCCAGGCCTGTGCCTTCTAACCACACAGCTGGGAGGCCACAAGAGTCACTGATTGGCAAACCTCAGATTATAAATCTAAGAAGGAATGACAGGGGAGAGCAGTGGAAATTTCTTAAATAATTATGAGTGATAATAATTCTAATAAAAATTACATCAGAAGCCTGACGCTGTGCCTCACGCCTGTAATCCCAGCACTTTGGGAGGCCTAGGCCGGTGGATGGCTGGAGTCCAGGAGTTCAAGACCAGCCTGGGCAACATGGTGAAACCCTGTCTCTACGAAAAATATAAAAATTAGCCGGGCATGGTGGTGCATACCTGTAGTCTCAGCTATGCAGGGGGCTGAGGTGGGAGGATAGTTTGAGCCTGGGAGGTGGAGGTTGCAGTAAGCCAAGATCATGCCACTGCACTCCAGCCTGGGCGATAGAGCCAGACCTTGTCTCTCAAAAAAAAAAAAAAAAAAAAAAAAATTCCATTGGCTTATAACCTCACAATTTACAAAGGACTTTATCTAAGGAGCGAATCAAAGTTGACAATGCCCGTAAGAGCAGACCTCAGTCAGAACATAGCTGGTAAAACATCTGAGATGGCAGGGAATGAAATGCTGATAACAGTAAAGTGAAAAAGGAAAACTATGTAATTGCAAGGATTGTGGTAACTATTTGTTCTGTTCCTTTTTGATAAGAAGAGATTCTCTTTTGGTAGCATGTTTATTTTAAGAAAGTCAAGGGCATTGTTTTTAGGGAGAATGTTGACAGTGCTTGTAGAAGCAAAATGAAAGGTGAGGAAGAAGGCAGCATGAGGTCAGCACACATAATTCAATTCAAAGTCATCAGACTTCATTTTTTCCCTAAAAAGTTGCTGAAAACAGAGGAAGAAGGAAGAATGCAAGGAACAAGAAAGAAAAATTGCCAGAGCTTTAAATGTCAAAGAATAATAAACACACAGGAGCAGATCATTCCGGCAGCCAGCCTTGGCTTCGTTTTCTTTTCTCCTGTCTTCCGCATCTCTGCTGGTGCTCCACTTTGTCACATACAGTTTTTGTTCCCAGATCTTAGAGTTTTATCTTTACAGATGTTCCTGTTTATTTCAAAGAAGTTATGTCACTTTTCTCTTCCCCCCCCAAGATGGTACCCACCTTATTGTAGAAGGAATGTTATCTTCGAAGCCCTTCTCGCCTCTTAGACTCAGGTGTGCCTCTATTGTAAGAGGCAAAAGTCCACGTTCTCGTGGCCTCCTTCTCTTGCTTTCCACATGCTGCTCAGCTCACTGTGCTTCTTCTGGGTTAGCCTTCTTGCTATTTCTTAAAAACCTCCTGTTTCTTACATTAATGGCAATCACCTTGCATCAACCTAATGGATTCTGTCTCAGGAGTCTTTGCACCTGCTCTTCCCACTAACTGGGATGCATTTCTGAGGACTCACATGATCTCCTAACGGTCTCTCGCACCCGCACAGGTTATTTGAGAATCTGCTCAGATGTCACCTTGTCAGAAAGGCCTTCTTTGACCAACATCTATAAAATATCCCTTAATCCAACTCCTTTCCTCTCCTTTTATTCTTTCTTTTTTTCCTCTGAAGATGGGGCCTTCCTATGTTTCTCTGGCTGCTCTTGAGCTCCTGGTCTCCAGCAATCCTCCCACCTTGGCCTCCCATTGTACTGTGATTGCAGGCATGAGCCACCACACACAGCCCCTTTTATTTCTTTTGATAGCGCTACTCATTACCTGGCATGACAGCACATATTAATTTGTGTACGTCTACACTTTTTATAATGAAGGTGTCACAAAATCCTGAACTGCTAGTGCAGGGGTCTATGCATTAGGGGCTCCAGAGAGAACCCTTCTGCCATTGTGACACGCCCACTGAAGTCCCAGAGTCTATATAGAGTAGGTGCCCAATAAATATAACTGAATGAATGAAGGTTTCTCACTTATTTCATTCATTTCTTCGCACTTGGATTCCACTTCGTTATAGAGACTTCTGTTAAGTACCTGTAATCAAAGGACTTTCTTTTTGGTTTGAACTATGTGATTTGTTGAAAGGCTGAGGAGGGAATGAGCTTACTAAACCGTACTCCCTGTCAAAACATTTATTGGCTTTACCACACACTTAGTGAGACCCTATTGATGCTGCATTTTGAGGGCACTAAAAACTAATAAGCCAGAAGAAGTGGCCGGCATATGTGGTCTAATAGATTCAAGGTTGAAGAATCCGCAGCGACGGTAATTTGCACAAGTCAATAAGTACTTCCTAGATTGTCTATATTTTTTAAGATACAGAGTTTTTATACCTAGTTGAGAAACAACAAAAATATGTACTTAGTGTTCTATCGTCCATGCATGCTTTATTTCCAATGAAACTCAGAGGAAATAGGTATTTCCAACAGTGTTTGCCATAGTTACACCCTTTTCTAGGGCTCTGCTCATTTTATTCCATTTCACACTCATCTTTTTCTGTTGAGAACCTATAGAAATAATACAAGTAAGTAACATTTATTGTGCACTTTCTATGTGCCCGGCATTGTGCCAAGGCCTTTTCATGTATTTCCTCACTTAATTCCTCTACTCAATTAGGCAGGTAAAATAATATAGTTCTCATTTTAAAGATGAGAAAACCGAGGCTTAGAAAGGCTACACAGTCAGGATATAAAGCCAGGTCTGTCCAATTTCCAAGCCTCCACTTGTAACTGCCTGGTAGACCCTCTCCTCGACTTCCTTTTCCTTTTTTTTTTTTTTTTTTTTTTGAGATGGAGTCTCACTCTTGTGGCCCAGGCTGGAGTGCAATGGCATGATCTCAGCCCACTGCAGCCTCCACCTCCCAAGTTCAAGCGATTCTCCTGCCTCAGCCTCCTGAGTAGCTGGGATTATAGGTGCCCACCACCATGGCTGGCTAATTTTTTTATTTTTAGTAGAGACAGGTTTCACCATGTTGGCCAGGCTAGTCTCCAGCTCCTGACCTCAGGTGATCCACCCACCTCAGCCTCCCGAAGTGCTGGGATTACAGGTGTGAGCCACCATGCTCAGCCGACCCTCTCTTCTACTTCCTGAGGCCCATACAATCAAAATCCTCTGGCACCTGGAACCAGGTAGAAATGATAGGTAGAGGTGTAGAAGTCTTACAGTTACCCCAAACCCCCACAGAGGCATGTCCCTAATAATATATTTGTAAACCGACAAAAGAAAACTAGCTTTCAGAATAACACAGAAAATGAATTATTGGCTGCTACAAAAATTTAGGAATCTGGAGATCTTGGGGGCATAGATGAGGTTAACCAAGCAGCACCTGGGTCCCAGCCCAGGCTACAGGCCCCAAAGGAAGGACATGAGGACAGAACAAGGAGGAATGAGGTCCAGGAAAGAGCTGCTCATCAGATCCCAGGATTTTAAAGTATGCTGAGTGCTTTCTTCCTATTACCCTGTAGTTCCAGCTTTGATCTGAAGGGAAGAAGTTGGTTCCCTTCTAAACTAGATTTGTTTTATGACCTAAGGCATATTCATTTGGGCAACATGAGTATGACATTTTTCTCCCAACCATGTTAAGTCTAATTAATTTATCAGGCACTTGCCAGTTTGCCCATTCTTGCCCATAACTACCCTCAAATCTTCAACTTTTAAGGTGAATTTGGTTTTGAAGTTACTGTCATTTCTTATGGCCTACTGGAAATTTTCTGGTGTGTGTTTTTTTTTTTTAATGTTTGCATTTTCTAAGACTACTGTGCTTTTGTATGTATTCATTTAAATTGTCAAAAAGGATGTTGTCAAGATATGCTGAATGAGCCCCTTCCCCCAGAAATGTTGCCATATTAATGGGATATTAGCCCTTTACTGACTTGGAGGTTGCATCTTCTCAATCCGGTAATTAGCTGAAGTGCTACATTTTAAAAAATAATTTAAGCTCTTTTTTCATTATTTTTTTTTCAATTTTTCAGAAGGCAAGTTCAGACACATAGGTTTATACAAGATGAAAATATTAGATAAAAAGTGATACATCTGAATTATGTATTTTAAACATTTTTACTTAAATACCACACATGTCCACATAGCATTATTTATACACATTTTAGTAAAACTAGCTGAGGGTGCTTGGGGGTAGGGTATTCAGTTAGTAACCTGTATCTAAGTTGATACATATCTTCCCTAACCTGTTTACTTGATTGAATTGATTAGGGACTATTAAAAAATAAAATTATCTTTGAGAAGCAAAGAGTAAACACATATATAACATGGTTCTAGTTCTTGTACTGGACTCAATTCAGTCTGTAATTTTTACTGAGTCCCTACAAAGGCCTTATGCTATGATGGGTGCTACCGAAGATACATCCGTAGTTTTTGTTTTTGGTTTTTGGTTTATTTTTTTGAGACAGAGTCTCACTCTGCTGCCCAGGCTGGAGTGCAGTGGCACAATCTTGGCTCACTGCAACCTCCACCTCCCAGGTTCAAGCGATTCTCCTGCCTCAGCCTCCCAAGTAACTGAGATTATAGGCACTTGCCACCACGCCTGGCTAATTTTTGTATTTTTAGTAAAAACAGGATTTCACCATGTTGGCCAGGCTGGTCTTGAACTCCTCACAGGTGATCCACCTGCCTCAGCCTCCCAAAGTGCTGGGATTACAGGCATGAGCTACCACGCCTGGCCGATATATCTGTTATTAATGTAGGTTTTGAAGCTTGCCCTCGAGGATTTAAAAGACAGCATTGCAATTTGCATGTAACCTCTGAGTCAACTACTGAACTATTAAGTTGCGAATGGAAGACTTATAACCACACATGTGAATCTGCCGATTTTTTTAAAGACCTCAGTGTTGAAAAGATCATATAGAACAATAGCTAGTACTTATTAAGTGTCTATTATGTGTCAGCTTCCTGGCATCTGTTAATTTATTTTACCTTTGTAATATTCAGGCGAGGTATGCGTTATCCCCACTTCACAGATGAGGAAATAGGTTCCGAAAAGAAACTTACTGAAGGACACACAGAGGGTCGAGTCAGAGATCCGCTCCAAGCCCTATCTTACTCTAGTGGCCACCTTCTTTTTACTTCACATCCCATCATAAAATATAAAACTAAACGAAGTGTTGATGGTTGTTTAATGCGAGCAATGCAGGCTGCCAAGTAGAACAATTAAGACTCTGAAATAGCTATTTTGCTTTGACTACTTGGCTTATTTAACAATCTACAGTTACTAGCTAGATGGATAATTGTACAGCCTCTCAATTACTTTAGGTTATGTGGACATAAGCCTGGCGCCGTTTGATTCTGACTCTAATGATATTTAATTTCATATTCCTAATAGCTCCTTGTCTAGTGAGTATCCTAGAGGATAGAGAAAGGTACACTTTGAGGATAACCTCAGTTGCATGTACTCAAGCGGTCTTCAGGTAGCATGCATGCCCTCCCTTTAAAGAAACTTAGTTCAGGAAAGTTAGGCTGACAAATAAATATACTAGGACATCATGGTTTCATTACAGAATGACTCTCTCTTTTAAGGGGATTCACCACCATTTTTGTCTCCTTAGCAAGACCCACTAGCATATTTAAAATATTATTTTAATATATGAATATAAATTATACCTCTTTTTAGAGATATGTCTGTCAAGTGAAGCACATTCATACCTTGACTGGACTAAATGTTTGTCCTTATACAGAGCACAAAATGTTTCTTTCTCATTCATTCTTTCAATTTTAAAAGCCAACAGGGACCAGGGCAGTAAAGAAGAGAAACGGGCATGTGAATGTGGTCAATGGAGTCTATTCTATTGACGAATGTTTCACATTTTCTCAAACTTTTCGAGGAAATATAAAAATATGTTGCCCCAACTTCCTTTCCAATTTCCAAAGGAACATTTTGGCTGGGAATTAGGAAAATTTCGTTCTATGTATAACATCTACGAAGATGTTTAAACTGTAATTGCATGCCATTTCAAGGAAATGTTCTTTCAGTACAGTGAAGACTGACCTACTCGGGAATATTAAAATGTACAGGGGTTCACATTTTGGTGATAATATTTTATCATTTTGAAAACTTATTCTTAATACACCCCCACATTACATTTTAGTAAAATGGTTTCACTTTCTTTAACACCCATTAATAGCTATTAGAAGTAAAAAAAAAAAAAATAAGGCTTTATATAGATCCTTAAACTACACTTAAGTAATTTGTAATTGACAATTAAATCAGCATGGCAATGCATTATCATAAGTTTGATAGATCTGCCTTTCTTAAAATCCTGAGAAGAAAGGGCCCTTTTGTAAGACACCCAACACAGACTATTCTTGCATTTTAATTGACCACAAAGCACACATTGTCTCCATGTAAGTGCTTGGTAATCATCTTTTACAAGTTTCCTTTTGTTGAAGATTTTGATGCTGCCTGTGGAAGGCTGGTTCATGCTAGAAACAGTGTCCTTAGTTGAAATGTGGGATTAGCCGCAGCCATACTTAAATGATTGGCCTTGCCGTGGTCATAATATAAAAAGTAGAGTTAAAGCTTTCCACTTTGAAATCCTGGGTTTCTCATTCTCTCCTTCCCTCTCTTGTTTCTTCTTCTCGCTAAAGACCCATGAATGTGTGCTCACAAAGCTGGGTCTGCACGTGGGCCTGATGACAGCCACACCGATGATGACCCCATTCCTGGGCAGCTGACAGGCATTGGAGTCACCCTGTCCAACCATAGAATAGGCATGTGGGCTATGTTTGTAAAAGCTGGACTCTTTTCTCATCCCTAGGAAATTTGAAGACCTACTGTATAGAAATGCCGGTTAAAATAGTTACATGTTGAGATGAAAATAAACACTGAATTTGAGAGGGAATTTTAACCATTCATTTATCTATTTGTCTCCCAAGCAACTTCTGAAAATTCCATAGATAGTTGATTAGATTAATTTCCAGTTTTGTCCACTTTCTTACATCCTATACTAACAATAGCACTTATCTATACAGTGTAAAACTTTTTATAAAAAAAAAAGGTATATTCTCTGTATTTCAAACTATTAAAATTGCAAAAAATTCTAAAGATTGATTTTCATATAATTTGCTAGAATCTAGGATAAATCAAAATACCAATAGAGATTTTTTCCCTCTAATATCTAAGAAAGCTGTTTTATAACATGGACATAATCAAGTTTTCTGTGAGTCTGATTCATCTCATAAAGAATTATCTCCTTTACTACATCTTCATTCTATTCTTTAATACTGATTTTGTGGGTTTTCATATGAGATAAATGCGTTACATTAAAGGTGAAAACGTGTGATAGGTGTTTTTTAAGTAGCTTGTAAAGTGTGGAAGTTAGTTAGGTATTGATACCCAATTAGTAGAAATTAAAATTTTAATCTGGGAAGAAGAAAGGAGTATTGTATAATCAGATGAAGTATCTTTACATTGGAATACAGTTCCATTCATGTGACAGCTGCTTAGTGATGTTTTGAAAATTAAATTGAATTAATAAATTCAAGGGGATCAAACCACACTTAAAGTGATGATGGCACAACTGTAACGGGCATTTCCACCAATCCCTCTACAGGGCAATGTCTGCCACATTGCAATGTGGCCAGGCTCACAGGGAGGAATGTGTGAGATAAACATTAGCGTCAGCACTACAAGGTCACGCGTTCTTACCACCAAATATAATGGGTTTATATGACTATATCAAAGGAGGGAAGAAGGCCCCCAGCCCTGAGGACTTTCAGTGGCAGGAGGAAGGCACAGTCCAAGCAGTAACTGATGAAAATGTGCAGTCTGCTGTACAAGTGTATAAACTGTTTATTTTATGGGAAGAAAAGTCATCAAGAGATTTATCCGAAAGTCAGGCTTGGATAGACTAGCTGGCAGTAGTCATCTTTACCTTTGGTCCTACCGTCTCAATTGCATCCTACTACTTGAATCATGTCACAAGGTATTAAAGGAAGAAAGTGAGATTGGTGAGACAGCAGAGACGCTCAATTCCAAAACTCCAACAGCAAAAGGATTGATCATTTTAGAATACCTTGTAAGTCAATAGTGAAAACATTGTAACAGCTCTCTAGAGATCTTTTTTTTTTTTTCATTTCTGGCATTGCTCTAAAACCTCACTAATTCGGAACAGTTTTTTTCCTAAAATTGGAGAATTTCCCAAATGTAAGCTATTTTTGTAAATATTATCGTAAACTAAGGCGTATATATACACACACATATACTGCTTAGTTGAATGAAAATAAATATGTCACAACAGCGCTGTATTAAATGTTTCCTAAACTTTAAAATATCGAGATATATTGTTTGCTTTTTAACTTTTTACTCAAAAAAAGGTACATAGTCTTTGGGACTTCTAGTTAAGATTGTGTTTTAACTTAGGGCCCTTGATGTAGTTCAGAGATAGAGCACATTAAAAGAATTATACTCCACAATCAATTGTGGTTTGTTTGAAAATAAAAAGATGTTTTAGTTTATAATATTAACATACTATAACACATCACCTCAGTAGATCAATAAGAAAAAAACGATCTCAATAGGAACTCAATAATGATAACCAGAATCTATAAGGAACTCAAACAAATCAGCAAGAAAAAAAATAATCCCATCAAAAAGTAGGCAAAGAACATGAATAGACAATTCTCAAAAGAAGATATACAAACAGCCAACAAATGTATGAAAACATGCTCAACATCACTGATTATCAGGGAAATACACATTAAAACTACACTGAGATACCACCTTACTCCTGCAAGAATGGCCGTAATTAAAACGTCAAAAAACAGTAGATGTTGGCATGGATGTGGTGAAAAGGGAACAGTTTACACAGCTGGTGGGAATGCACATTAGGACAATCACTATGGAAAAGTATGGGGATTCCTTAAAGAACTAAAAGTGGATCTACCATTCAATCCAGCAATCCCAGAGGAAAGGAAGTCATCATATGAAAAAGGCACTTACACATGCTTGTTTACAGCAGCACAATTCGCAATTGCCAAGACATGGAACCAACCTAAGTGCCCATCAACCAATGAATGGATAAAGAAAATGTGACATATATAGATATATAGATATACACACATACATATATATGTGTGTGTGTATATATATATATATATAGAGAGAGAGAGAGAGAGAGCATGGAATACTATTCAGCCATAAAAAGGAACGAAATAATGTCTTTTACAGCAACTTGGTTGGAGCCAGAGGCCATTATTCTAAGTGAAGTAACTCAGGAATGGAAAACCAAATATCGTACGTTCTCACTTATAAGTGGGAGCTAAGCCATGAGGATACAAAGGCATAAGAATGATATAATGGACTTTGAGGACTTGGTGGGGAGGGTTGGGAGGTGGTGAGGGATAACAGACTACATATTAGGTACAGTGTAGACTGCTTGGATAATGAGTGCACTCAAATCTCAGAAATCATCACTAAATAACTTATCCAAGTAACCAAAAACCATCTGTACCCCAAAAACTATTGAAGTAAAAATATAAAAAATATTAAGCCCTTATTCCTAAGAGGCTAAAGAAACTCTTAGAAAACGAGGAATACAGAGGAACTTTTAAAATTTAATGAAAGACAGCTATCTTAAACCGATAGTTGGGTAAGAGATGAGCAAGGGCACAAACTGTCATCATTCACGAAATAATGTACTGGAAGTTCTGATCATAGCAATAAATCATGGAACCCAAATAAACAGATACACTCATTAGAAACACTAAAGATCGAAATTTTGTCATTTGCCAAAAAGATAAATATAAACATAAAAAGTGAAAAAACTAAAAATCTGTATGAATTTAAGATCTGTATGAATTTAAGGACAGTGTACTGAAAAAAATTTTAAGCAACAACTTTACCTTAAATCAGTAGTTAACACGTGGGAACTGTCTGAAGAAAACATTAAGTCCTCGCAGAGAGAAAATGTTAGAATTTGAGTAAATTTAGAGTTAGCCTATACTTCTAGATGGACAGAGCTAGTATTCTAAATACATTAAATTTTTCCCAGATAAATCCAAGTGTTCAGAACAAATACCAATAAAAATTTCAGTAGAATTTTTTGAATTGATTTGAATTTATTGTAAATCTCAGCTTGAAGTTCGCTTTGAAAGGGAAGCATAATGCTAAGAGTAACTTGCTATACCAGATGTTAGAAAGTATAGCTACCAGTTTTTCATCAAAGCAACATGGTACCAACCTAAGAAATGACAGACGGATTCAGTAGCATGAAATCTGATATGTAAACATACACATCTTACCCCAAAAACCCCAGGGAAAAGGACTGCATCATAAATGATACTGGTTAAACTTCCCACGTGGAAAAAAGAAATAATTATGTTGTATCTTCACCTTACACCATGAACCAAAATACATCGTGAATGGATCAAATAGTAAAAAAGGAAAATGAAAAAAACACAAAGGTAAAAATCTACTCTCAGGGTAGGTGAGACTTTTTATGTTAAATAAAATAAGCAAGTTATTGAAATCTTTGGCTATATGAAAGTTTGTAAATTCAGACCAAAACATTTTTAATCATTAAAAATAAATTATGATTTGTGGGAAAAAATCTTTTTTAGGAATTAAAATACATAAATAAATATAGAACAGTTTCAACTTGATTAAAAAAACAGTTTATGACTAAAGCACATAAACTGACCATAAAAGTAGACAAAGGACAATAAACATTGGGAGAAATATTTATCTTCACTAGTATTCAGAGACATGCAAAGAAAACAGTGAAGTAACAGGTCATCACTCATCATAGTACAAATTTAAAATTAACAGTACACTTGAGAATAGCAAGCCACTCTTGTATATGGGGGAATGTCCATTGCAAATCTGCAAAGCAATTTAGTAATTTATGTTAAGATGTAAAACAGTTATCTTCTCTCTGAAGAAAATCAGAATTACCCACATACATTCACAAGAATTTTCATCTCAATGCTATATATAAAAGTAAACATTTATAAATGCCCTTAATATTTAATCTTAGAGGAATGGTTAAATAAATTATGGGATATTTGTAAAATGAAATAATATATAATCCTTGGAAAATATTTTCAACGTCATTATGTGGGAAAAATATATCATGTTGTATAAAAAGGATTAAAAATTCTGATCAATACAACCACAGTTTTATATAAAGAGACAAAGTATATGGATTGAAAATGACTAAAAGGAAATATTACCAAAAGTTAAACAATTTTGTATCTAGTGAGATTGAGGTGTAGATAATTTTTCTTCTTTATACTTATCTGTGTTTCTGAGCATTATTATGAGCATGAATTGCTTTTGTAATCATTAAAAACAATAAACGTTATTTTTAAGAGAATCATGTTCTATGTCCAAATTATCACTAAATCTGAGTTAATGGCATCTAAATTAAGAGTCTTTCAATGGTAAAGTTTTAGTAGTATAATAGTATAATATACGCTCAGTGGCAATTCAGTGTATTTCATAGATAAGTTTCATTTGTAGCAAGATGCTAAATAAAGGCTAAAAAAGATAATGATCTTCCAGAGATTTGTAGATAAATAATTGTTATAAAACAAGTCTTGTTTCTGCCTGAGATAGCCAGGAAAGAGGATTCAATAAGATGCTCAGAAATGTACCAACTGACATTTTACTAAGTCAACATGGTTTGGGTATCATTTGGGGTAACCTGTGTTCTCAGTGGCTTTCCATAACCCTAAGAATAATTTTGCAGGCATTTTGGCATTGAGTCTTCATTTAAAGAATGAAAATGAAATGCATTCCAGTGCTTACAGCATCTTTTTGAGGTTCTTTTGCGTGTGTGTGTGTGTGTGTGTGCCCACACGTGTGTGTTGTTTTGTTTGTGTGAGTTTTTTTCCCCCCATAAAGTATTCCTTTTGAAGTTCACAGCTTAGGCAGAGAAAGCCGAGTTTGGCGGGTGTAACTTTTGAATGCATAAAACAGCGGCTTTAATCTCAGGTTATGATTGACACCAAACAAAATACAGACTCTCTCTTTGTTCTCCAAAACACAGTGGAATCCTTGTGGGTATTTGTGGTGTTGGGTGTGCATGTGTGCACATGTGTATATGTGTGTGCTGTTTGTTCAAGGTAAGAAAAAGGTTTGCAAAGTTCAGCTGACGACAGCTAATGAATTTGGCATCCTTCAAGCTGTCTCCTAAGAAGCAATTCTGATGACAGGCCTATGAGGCACACGCTAAGGGGATGTGACAAGAGTCTCAGTGGGGATGATCCTGCTGAGAAGACTGAGACAAATGGGCTGCAGAGACCTCTGGTAACCAGGCTAAGAGTTGGGAGAGCTTCAGATGTGGTGTCACACCTGCCTGTCCCCAACAAATCCACCAGTGCATCCTGGGGGTGATAAACTGCCCATAACAAATTAGACTGTTACACTGAGACAAGGTTATCTGAAGAAAAATAGGAAAGTTTTACTTCTCAGTAATTTTGTTTTCTCAATTTTTTTTGGAGGAGTTTGAGGCTTTTCATCTTTCATCAATTTCTCTAATGTTGCTACAGAAAGCCACTGCAGCTGCCCCCAAAGACTTGAAAGAGGGAAGGAAATGCTCTTCAAAAATTACTGGAACCACATGGAACCCCTGTGGCCTCTTGAAAAAAGTAGACAACACTTTATCCCATAATTGTGCACAGATCCCATTATGTTTATTACTTGATTCTAGACTTACTCCCTATTTCCATCCTACACTCATCTATCAGTTTCTCCTTCCTAAAACACCCCTGTGCCATGCCTTTCTCTACTATAGTTCTTCATTCACTTGGTTATTTTTTACGCTATTATGCAACAAACATTTATTGAGTATCTACTGTGTGCCAGGTACCTTAATAGGCATTGGGAAATATGGAAATTCTTATCATGGTAGCTGACCTCAAGGAGCTAACACTCTAATGGGGCCCCAGACAAGAAAACAAATTTACTAGTCAATTGCTGCAATAAGGCCACATACAAATTATTCCACAGTGCAGTGGTTTGCAGAAATAAATGTTTATTCTTACACTTATGAATCTACAGATCAACAATGGTTTGGCAGATCTAGGTTAGGTGGCTCTCTTTCAAACTGTGAGTCAGCTGGGGTTGGCTTTCAATTGTGAGTTGGGCTCAAATCTCCATGTGTGTTTGTTCTGGGACCCAGGTGGAAGGAACAGCGGATTCCCCAGGCATGCTTTTCTCATGTCAGAGAAAAACCCAAACACACAAGCACATTTAACCTAATGTTGGGTAACGTGTTAATGATGAAAGCAAGTGGCATTATCAAGCCCAATGTCAATGTAGTGGGGACATATATTCCACTCACTCTATTGTACTATAAGGTCATATGATCGAAGGAGGGCGCAAAGAATTGGCAAAATAATCCAATCTAACACAAAATTTGTGCCAATGAAGTATAATAAATGATACAAGAGAAGTATATTCAAGGTTTGGATGAAGTACGGAGAAATATTTCAGAAGAGGGTGTATTAGGGTTCAGCCAAAGAAACAGAACTAGCAGGATCAATAGATGATGGATATATAGGTAGGTAGATGATCCAATAGTTAAATAGAAAGGTAATTAATGGATAATAGATAATTCAATGATAGGTGATAAATGGATGTTTGTTACAGGAATTTGACTGCACAGTTACGGCAGTAGGTTAAACAGTCTCTGTAAGGTTTTTTTCTCTACATCTGGTGCTGGAACTTGAAGTCTGTAGACCAAATAGTTAACAAGGAAAGATGGTAAAGTGGAGGAGATCAAGGGCAGGCTAAAGCCCACAACCACAGCTTGAACTACTTGAGGATGTGCTGAAACACTTATATATTCTTGTTGTCTCTGTCTCAGTAAGGTTCATTGACCTTGGTGAGACAGCTAAACACATGCCTGGCCCAGAATTCAGAGAAACTCAGGGCGGATGATCCAGGGCAGGGCAGAACAATTGCAGGGCCAGCTGCTGTTTCCCACCGAAGAGGCGAGTCAGCAGATCAGTAATAAGGTGTATGAGCTACAAAATAACTGTTGCTTCCCTTCTGTCCTTCAGATCTCCCAAGAATCTTGTGTCTCACCCTAACTAGAAATATCTTTAAATGAATTTTGGGAAATGTAGTTTGGCCTGGCCAAACTACATTTGACTCATTACAAAGGCTTTGACTCATTTCAAAGCCATCACAAGAGGCATCTAATTGAAGCTACTAGAAAGAGTAAATTGGGAAACACTTTCAGGGCAGGTGATATTTGAACTGCAACTGTAAGGATGAGCAGGAGTTAACTGGGAAGGGGAAATGCCAATTTAGGCAGACACCAAGCATGAGAAAGGCAAGCCTCAGGAATATGGAAGATCCTGGTATAGAAGTCTAACAGCCTAAGCCACTGGGAACACACTTGTAGTCAAAGCTATATTTACATAATTGTGGCAGCAAAAGAGAATGCCTGCCAAGGTTATGATGGGACAACTTGGAAAAAGAGAGTTGGAAGGAGCTTATTGTAGAAATAGGGCTTGTGCTGCATGATTCTAATGGGGTATTAGAGAACTGGAGGACAGTCCTGGATTGGATGTTTTCAGAAAGCATTGGATATCGATATGGACTCAGCTGTGTTCTCCCCAAAATTTGTGTGTTGAAGTCCTAACCCTGGTACCTGGGAATGTGATTGTATTTGGAGATAGAACCTTTAAGGAAGTAATTAGAGTTAATGATGTCATAGGTGTGGGGCCCCAATCCAGTAGGACTAGTATCCTTATCAGAAAAAAAAGACACTAGAGATGTGCAGGCATAGGGAGAAGGCTCCAAGGAGAGGAGCCTCATGAGAAACCAAACCTGCTGTCACCTTGATCTTGACTTCCAGCCTCCAGAACTGTGAGAAATAAATTTTTGTTTCTTAAGCCACTCAGTTTATGGTATATTATCACAGCTGCCCTAGCTGACTAACACAAGTATCTTGGTAGTTTTTATGTATAGACAGCAGGAAGATTAAAGAAGGACTAGAGTTGTCATTGGTAAAGAAGCAATTGGAAGAAGGGGATATTTCATTATTTTTACATTTGCAGAGTGTCTGTTTCTTTCTCTTGTTCCACCATGATCTCAAATTCTGATTATTTTTATATTGTGCAAGTGCTTTTAATGTTTAGAACATCATGGTCTACCTGTCAGCTACCTGCCACCAAAATTGTCCTTCACTTTCTCATTGATGTATTCAGAGAGGATTCTCATTTACTGATCCAGAAATTACAGGGAATCTCCATTGTTTACTATGTTGAATGCAGATTCCTTTGCCTGATTTACAACAGGGGTCCCCAGCTCTGTTAGGAACACAGCCACACAGCAGAAGGTGAGTGGCAGGTGAGTCAGCTAAGCTACATCTGTATTTACAGCCGCTCCTCATTGCTTGCATTACTGCTTGAGCTCTGCCTCCTGTTGAATCAGCAGCAGCATTCTATTCTTAAACGAGCACAAACCCTGTTGTGAACAGCACATGCAAGGGATCTAGGTTGTATGCTCCTTATGAGAGTCTAATGCCTGATGATCTGAGGTGGAAGAGTTTCATCTCAAAACCATCATTCCCCCCTCCCACCCCCACACCCCACCCTCCAGGTGCCAAAAAGGTTGGGGACTGCTGATGTATAAGATTCATAGTTCAGCCTCATTCTTCCTAGTGTCTGTTTCTCCACCTTTGTCAATCCAAGCTCTTCTATTCAGGCTTTCTTTTACTGTCTCTCATGTAATCTGCCCTCAGGCTAGTCTCCTCTGCAGGGCTATCTCACACTTTCCCTCCATGTCCTACCCCAGTGAAGGCACACCCTTCAAGAGTCTCCCAAGTCCTGTCTCTGCAAAAGTCTCCCTGGTGATTCCAGCGCGCTCTTATCACCTGCCCTTCCTTGGAGCTCTTGCGGCCCATAAAATCCCACAGCATTAGACACTGCATTATTCTTTGTTTCCCAAATTAAGCTGTGTCTTTCTAACTTGGTTATAAGTTCCTTAAGGGCAGGAGCTATGCCCCGTGCCTCTTTTGAATCCTCCTTAGAGTAATTCAACTTTAGATAACTAACACTGTAGTCCTTCAGAAAAAGAAACGTGTGGCTCATGTAGCTCGTCACATTTTTTATTTTTATTTTTTGAAACTGGGACCATATTATGACATCTTTGTATCTCCTTTTCTCCTGAGATGATGTCATCGAATTAATCATATGTTCAGCCAGCCAGTATTTTTGAGCACCTATTTTTATGCTTGGTGCTTGATATTTAAGCTCAGCCCTGAAGGATACACAGAAATAAACCCAGTCACAGGGTGGGGATCACTGGAGAGTTTTGCATTGGTGGAAAACAGCATGAACGAAAGCACAGACACAAGAGAAATTGTGTATTTGAGGAATTGGAAGAAGTTCAGGTGTGCCAGGTGAGAATACCTGAGAGATGAGTTGGAGACATAGGTGGATCTCATGGGCATTATTATGTGGCTTGGACTTCATCTTAGGGTAGGGGACACCTTCAAAGAGTTGTAAGCGGGAGACAGCTATGACCATATTTCAGTATTAAATAACTCTGGCTGAAATGTGTAGCATGGATCAGAGCCAGAGAGACTAGGGACAGGGAGATTCCTTATGAGGTCTGATGGCCTCAACTAACGTAGTAGAGATGGGAGGAAGTGGTTGGGAAAGTGTTGTTCAACAGATTCTCGTCTCTCTGACAATGTAAACTCATGGGCATTCTAGTTTCTATATATTTATGTTCATCAAATTATGCATTGGTTCTGGAATTAAAAATGAACATAAGACTCTTTTGATCTGGGTGCTGACTGCATGGGTATGTTCAGTCTGTGAATATTCCATGAGCTAAACACTTAGGTGAACTTTCCTGTAAGTATATCATATTTTTTACTAAAAAAGTTTAAAGTATAAAACAACTGGCCCAGGACATTTTATGCAAATGTAGAGTTTCTAATTTTTTATAATTTTTTTGGAGTCCTTATATGGCCAAATTCAAAGATATCTTCAAAATCAACTTGTGCTGTTGCTTTTCTGGAAATATTGAACCCAACTGGCCTGCTGGAAGCATAAGAGCTTGTTCTGCACCTTTGCTTGTCTGTTCAGAAAGCTGGGTGCAGTGCCCCTACTCCAGCCCCCTAGCCCTGTTACTTTTTAGTTATACATTAGAGGAGATGGTGATGAATAGCAGAGCACTTATGATTCTATCTCAGAAATGAGGGCAAGGAGCTGAAGGTTTGGTTAGCGTCGGTGAAGGCAAGGATTTTATTCGACCTCTAGGGTCTTCCTCTGTCCCCGCCTCCTTTCTCCGGGCATGTGCAGGCCCATGCTAGGCTGCCTTCGTGGGTTACTGCCCCAGTTCCCAACTGGTTTCTGAAACTTTCTGCATGTTCCTGCCTCTTATTTGTACTGCCTTGTTTTTTCATTCAGCATCCAAATAAAGAATTCATGATCTCATCGATGGCAAGGTAACTCATAACTTTGTATGTATATACTTTCTTACTCCAACTAGGTTTCAACCCTTTTATAATGCCTTTGGTGTTCTCTTTTGCTGGAACATCCTCCTTTGTCCCCGCTGTCAAGTTTGGATTTGCCCCGCAGTTCTGGTCCTCCTCCAGATCCCATTTTTTTTTGTTGCCCTCAACTTTTTTCTGGGCTGGTCTCTTCCACTGCAGTATCATCTAACTTCCTCCTCCCCTGGGAGGTGCTGCCCACAGGCTTCTCAAGCTCAGCTTATTCTCAGCAGAGTAACTTATCTTCCCCAATGACCCTGTTTTACCTTTTTTGGTTGCCTTCTTGGTCAACAGTATCATCATTTGCCAAATTGTCCGTGTTGGAAACATCAGAATTATCTTCAACTCCTTGGTTTTCTTCATTCCACCCACTCAGTTATTCACATTGTGATTCTACTGCTAAAATCTGCTTTGGCCCTTCTCCTCTCTCTACAGCTGCTGCCTGGCAACATGGAATAGTGATGCCCATCCCTTCCACGTACTGCATGTGTCAGCTTGGGCCGTTTTTAATCTGCCAGGCCCTTGTGTTTCCTCATTTGTGTCATGTGGGTGATAATGCAGATTTACGGGATGGCTCTCATAGCTAAGTGATGCAAGCCTTTGTGCCACTGCACTCTAGCCTGAGCAACAGAGCAAGACACCATCTCTGAAAAAGTATAAAAAATGAAAAAGAGCTATGGATGTGTTATGAGAATTTCAAACTCATCTTTCCTAGACCATCTGGGCTTCTCTTGCATTTCCATCACATGATCATATGAATCACCATATTGGTCTCACCTTCCAGGAAGGAAGGCTGATGCACTCCACTGTGGTCTTTATTAAGCTTGTGTGGTTTACTTCTTAGGATTCCCTAGAATCAAAACCACTAGGAAAGGAAGATCCCCAAGTGCACCAAAGGTCATATTCACGTTTGGATCCCAGATAATGGTCGAGTAACGTAGTTTCTCTGACCTGGCACTTTGAGCAGGAAGAAAGGGAGTTGCTTGTGCCTTTGCTTCCTCTAAAAATAGCAAGAATAAATTCGGTCCCTTTTCCACATAAATATTACATGCATCTTGCACAAGCTGGACAAGTAGGCAGTGGTTGACAAAGAAAAGAACCTCCCTCACGGGCCCCGTAGTCGCTCACTTGTAGGGTGGTCTTCCCACTGCCCTTCCTTCCTGTCTCGAGACTCTTCCAAGTTCTGAGTCCATGCTTCATGCTTGATATGGTTTGGCTCTGTATCCCCACCCAAATCTCACCTTGAATTGTAATAATCCCCACGTGTCATGGGAGGGACCCGGTGGGAGGTAATTGAATCATGGAGGCTGGATTTTCTCATGCAGTTCTTGTGATAGTAAGTCTCATGAGATCTGATGGTTTTATAAAGGGGAGTTCCTCTGCACACGCTCTCTTGCCTGCCACCATGTAAGATGTGACTTTGCTCCTATTCACCTTCCACCATGATTGTGAGGCCTCCTCAGCCATGTGAAACTGTGAGTCAATTAAGCCTCTTTCCTGTATAAATTACCCTGTCTCAGGTATGTCTTCATTAGCAGCGTGAGAACAGGCTAATACAATGCTGAGTTATCTTTCTAGAGCCCCAAACCTTTCATGGCTTCCTAATGGCAGAGTCTTTAGTGTGAAATGCAATATCCTTCCTCACTCAGCCCTAGGCTACTCTCTGCCTTGTCTCCACTACCTCTTTGGCCTCTAGAAACCTGCCAGGGACTTTCTTTTGGGGATCATAACTTAGTTATGTGCTTAGAGCATTTGCCATATTTACAAGGAATAGGAAAGTAAAAGTAATGCTTACTTTCTACCACTGCAATGTAAAATAAAATTTAATGCACTTTAAAAAGTGATGGTATATCTCATTAGGAACTGATTTAAGGAAATGTGTGGGGCCTTTAATAGCTTCCAGTGATTTGTTTTTAATAGCAGGCAGAGGATAGAACTCGTAAGAGTAACTTGCTGTTGATCTCTGGGGGATCTCAGTGAGGTGGGAGGTCAGCAGAGCGCAGGCTGACCCGGGAAGAAATGAGGTGACACCAGCTCTTGGGGCTGTGGCACAGTCAACTGAAGCATTAAATGCAAAAAGTAGAACTACTCCTAAAAATGAATGAAGCAAAAATTACACTGGCTTCTGATTCTTGTTCCTGGCCTATAGGACACTTGCTTTTGCCAAGCCACCACAAAAATCACCCTCCTGCTCCCATTGCTCCTAATTCTGAAAGTCTTGTCTTCCCATCTCATCTTCAATGCCCTGTTCTACCTGCCTGCAGTTTATGAACTCCCAAACTTTAGCATTTATGGAAAGTAATGAAGGTAATATACAGTTTTATCATTTTATTTTCAACGTACCCATATAAATGGTGCTTTAAAATTCAAAAACAATTATGAAAACATCAAGTTTATCATTCCATCTCAAGGAATGTATCAAATCCTTAAAGTTAGGAACAGGCCCTTCCTAATCTTTTTGTCTCTCCCTGTTCTAGCTGAATAACTTAATGACTCCTCGTTGAGCGTGGTATTTCACAAATTGTGCGATACAGCTGCAAGCCACTGAGACTAGGTAACGCACAGGAAGAATGCTTCGTGAAGAAATCCATCCTCCGAACAAATGTTTCCTAAGTGTCTACCACATACCACACGTTGTTCTAAAGTGGGGATAAAATGGAGAAGCTCCCTGTTTTCATGGAACTTAGGTTCACATGGAGGAAACAGATAACAAACAAGTTAATAAGTAAATAACTTAGTTTCAGAGGGTGATATAGAAAGGTAACATTGAAAGCACCTGAGTATTATATGAGAGCTATGCGATGAGCATGGAAGCACACATTTGTAGTCCTACCTACTTGGGAGGCTGAGGTGGGAGGAACACTTGAGCCCAGGAGTTCAAGGCTGCAATGAGCTATGATTGTGTCACTGCACTCCAGCCTGGGCAACAGAGCAAGACACCATCTCTGAAAAAGTATAAAAAATTAAAAAGAGTTGTGGATGTGTTATGATAGTTTCAAACTCATCTTTCCTACACCATCTGGGTCTCTCTTGCATTTCCGTCACGTGATCATATGAATTGCCATATTGGTCTCACCTTCCAGGAAGGAAGGCTGATCCACTCCACTGTGGTCTTTATTAAGCTTGTGCAGTTTACTTCTTAGGATTCCCTAGAATCAAAACCACTAGGAAAGGAAGATCCCCAAGTGCACCAAAGGTCATATTCACATTTGGATGCCCAGATAATGGTCGAGTAACGTAGTTTCTCTGACCTGGCACTTTGAGCAGGAAGAAAGGGAGTTGCTTGTGCCTTTGCCTCCTCTAAAAATAGCAAGAATAAACTTGGTCCATTTTCCACATAAATATTAAACGCCTAACTTATGAATATTCACCTGTGGCCTTCTTAAGATTTCCCACCTGCCTGAAAGTGGTGCTTGGCAAAACATTAGGCCAAAACTGATCTCTCCATTGTGAACATGTTGTCTGCTAAGTTGTAAGATTTCACAAACCAAAGCTAGTTTTTGATTGTTTGTTTGTTTGTTTTTTTAATCAACTACATTATCCATGATAGTTTATTTTAATGGGAAATGTTTTCCTTTCTTCTTCTTGTCTTCAATGGGCCTTTCTTTACCTACACAGACATAGTCCTCTGAAGCCAGTTCTTGGTGTCTGCTTTCATTTACAGCAGAGAATCATGATTACTCTTTAGAACAATACTTCTTAAATTTATCTAGTACCTATTTTCAAGTGGCTTCTTGGAGTTCCAAGTACTTTATGGTTTGCTATTTATACATACATATTGATAAATGTGACACTTTATCATGATAAGGGGCTTTACAATTAGTCTTGCTCATTAATCATTCCTGCGCCCTGCTCCTCCTGGTAAACAGCTCCAATTTGAAAATGAGTGAACAGTCTTTGTGGAAGGAGTCTCCATTTGGAATTTAGGGCCCTTGGATTTGTCACTGGGATGGCCACCTCCTGCTTCCACAGTATGACTGACAGGTCATTTTTGAGTTGCTCAAGTGAAAGCAACTCATATGAACAAGTTCCCCAGATACTGTCAAACCCTTTCTTTAGCAATGCTACTGGTGTCTTACTTTAAACCCACTGTCAGTATTATGTTTCAGGTAGTGAATTGTGATACTCGGGTCTTTTATGCTTTGGAAGTATTTTCCCCCACGAGGCAGAGCATGGAACTGGGGTCTGGAAGAAGGATTGCACCATATTCCATTAGTCTTCGGCTTCTGTCCCCAGTGCTGCCCTGGGCTCCCCCACTATTTGCAGACGTCACTGCTTTGCCTCTGTTGCACCCATAGAGAAAGACCCTTCTTCTGCAGTTGATAAATTGGGGTCAGAGGAGCTTTGTGTCTTCAGTGTGACATCAGCAGAATAGAAGAACGTTCATCCATTTGCACGTGTATTTATCAACTTCACCGAGCTCCTACTATGTATCACACACTTGGTACACTGCAAATCCATTTCTTTTAGACCTTGATCATTGCTTCATATTTACTTAACAAATTTTCTATGTATTCTTTCCATCTTCCAGAGCAATATGGGATGTTTCTTAATTAAACTTGGCAGTTCTCAGTATCTGAAACTAGCAGCTAAATAGATTTAATGTCCTTGATGCCTCCACATTCCTGGATTGTTCTTTTAGGATTTGAGAGGCAGGCTAGATTTGTGTACTGTCCCATGCTTATCAAAGAGGGAATCTGTTCTGTCAGGCTCTGGCATATTTTGTATTAACACTTCCATTGAAATGATACTTTCTATTACTTTTGCAATGTAAATGCCAAAATGCAAAGACAAGACACAGAAAGCAGAAAAAAAACTTAAGAATCATTAAGTTGTATTTGGAAATTTAGCTCTTTCTTCTGGAAATTACCTATAACAGAAACAAATGCACCTATAATTTCACCTTTTAAATTTGTTTAGAAAGCTCAAATCTGAAAAGGCCAAGAAGCTGGCTGATTCTTAGCTCACTGCCAATATTCTCACATTGCAGAACTTTTCTAGTTTTTTTCTTCATCAAGTTTGCATTATTAGCTAAAAATGTAATTTATACAGCAAAAACATCTTTTTGGATATAGAGGGCATCCGAACAATCTAAGATTTTCTTATTGTTCTTTGTTAATTACTGCTTTTTTTTTGGAAAAAAAGAAATCCCTACCAACCAAATATAGTAATAATCAGGATTGTTAAAAATTGGCTCCTACTGCAGATGATCCCAAAAAATATTAATAATTAGCCCCCAAAAGTTGTTAGTCTGTCTAGGCTCAACTCGACCTTCATTTGGAATAAAGTTTGAAAGGAATTGCTTTGATACTAGTATCCAAGTCAGAAACTGCTTAAGCAATTTTTCATTAACTTACTATCTATCTGTATTAGTCCATTTTCACATTGCTGATAAAGACATACCTGAGACTGGGTAATTTATAAAGAAAAAGAGGTTTAATGGACTCACAGTTCCATGTGGCTGGACAGGCCTCACAATCATGGCGGAAGGCAAAAGTCACGTCTTACATGGCAACAGGCAAGAGAGGAAATGAGAGCCAAGTGAAAAAGGAAATCCCTTATAAAACCAACAGATCTCATAAGACTTATTCACTACCACGAGAACAGAATGGGGAAAACCGCCCCTGTGATTTCAGTTATCTCCCACCAGGTCCCTCCTACAACACGTGGGAATTTTGGGAGCTACAGTTCAAGGTGAGATTTGGGTGGGGATACAGAGCCAAACCGTATCACTATCCCCTAAGGTTATTACTATCACATTAGGGAAGTGTAAGATTCATTACACTAAGCACTCCTTAAAAACTATGCTTTGCTGGGGCGAGTATGCGGATCTCTGTGCACAGTGGGGGCATTGGGTTGCATGTGGTGTCGTAGAAAGGGGCAGGCCCAGCAGTCGGTAGAATGAGCGCCTAAGCTCCATCATTATTGCATCTTCTCCAGGTAAGTCACTCCAGCCACTTCCTACACTTGAATTTCTGCAGCTAAGGGGGTTAAGGAACCAGCGGTGCCTGCCCACTATGTTGTCATGGGGATTAAATCAATTGCTAAATGTGAAAAGGTCTTGAAATGTAAAACACAATAGCATGAAAGGAATATCTCAGTGTAGTCATCTATGCTGACCAGTGCCTGAATTAGAATAAGAAACGTCAAGGTTATTTTTTTTTTCACATAGTTGTTAGAGAAATGGCATTTAAAATTTTTTTGAAAATAAAATAGTCCTCTCCTCACATTTCCAGTGGTTAAACATAAATTCATTCCTTTATTTAACAAATATGTATTAATTATCAGATAAGGGAAAAATATTCTAGTGGGTGCATTAAGAAGTGCAAAGATTAATTCCATGTGGAGTTGGGGAGGTCAAAGACTTACTATATACACTATGTACATGTTATAAACTACATCCTTTCTTCCTATTTACTCATCTTTATAACCCAGGTTTAGCACATGGTGGATGTAAAGCCCTCAATCTGTCATCTTAGTGGCGTTTAGACAGGTACTAAACTCTACCTCAATAGCGTTCTCATTATTTACATCCGTAGACTAAAAAGGAAGTGGAGAGAGTATAAAATATTTAATGGTTTGGTTCAGTTCCAGTCCTTACTACCATGGATCCACAATTTATTTCACTGTAGGAACAGCCCCATATACTACAACATGGGCTTCCAATGTTAAGAATTTACCTTTGGATAAGCAACTGCATTATTGTTGTACGTTAGTGCTTGCTTCATAGTTTAGCCCCCATTAGAAACTGCATGGAAATATGCAAAAAGGGCTTTGTGTCCGAGCAGCGTATTTTTACTTTTCTCTAATGGACAAAACCGGTGGCTGGTATCAGTCCAGTTATCCCATTTTTAATAATATTTACGCTGACTGAACACACCCAGTTTCACTACAAGCTCTTCACATGCTTTAAAATAAATTAGCATTTGTTGCCCCCATTTAACCGCTGGAGTAAAGAGAGCCACAGAGAGGTTAAGAGACTTCTGCCCCAGCACCGAGCACAAGTCACAAGGCGAATGGGCTCAAACTGTTTCTCCCTAAGATCTCTCTGGTTCCAAGCTCATTTACATGATGCTTTTCTTACTTCAAAAGAACATCTTAGATTTTATATGATATCATTCGCTGGCAAGGTTGTTCATTTTTATATATTCACTGTAACTTTCATATGTTAGAATGAAGCAAGAATATGTAAAAAAAAAATGGGGTTGTTTTAGGGACAAGGCTCTCATTTCATGATCTGATTTTTGTCAAGTGACTCATCACGCCTTCTTGTTGCCCTCTAGAAATAGGGATGGTGAGTGCTATCCTTCGCTTATTTGCCATAGTCCAGCTGATACATCATGCAAGATTTCTGTGCAGTGGAGATTTAAAAACCTTCGTCTCCCCCTGCCCAGAGAACATGTTCATTTTTCTAGCTGTGGATCAAGACCAAGTTCAGAGGTCAGAGACCTAGCAAGAAATTGGAGTGTGTTCCAGATCTTCAAATAGGTGGGGAACAGAGTCCACCATTACTTTCCTCCTCTATTATTATCCCCAGTAATGCTTTGAGTCCAGGTTATACTGAGGTGCATGTTGGAGAATGGGAGCGGGACCAGGATTCAGTGACCCACGTCTGTTTGAGGCTGTTCTATGTTGTTCCATCCAAGCTGAGCGCATTCTTGGCTTCAGGTCAGCACACACCTCCTGGAATAGTGCCTTAGCTTGCACTTTTGATGACGGATTGCTCAGTCCTTAGCATCTCTTCTTTCCTGTGTGTGTGTGCGCGCGCGTGTGTGTGTGTGTGTGTGTGTGTTGTTATTTTACTTGGCTAATCTGCGTAGAATTTTTCTAATTCCAATAAACAGAAGTACAATGTATATTTCCCTGGTTAACTGTACATGCGAAGCCTGGTAGGAAAGCAGATTTTTCTTATTTTAGAAAAGAGCAACTCATTGGTCTTTTGCAGATGATGCTCCTGTGTCGATGAGGACTCCAGTGCCACCAAACAATCTTTGCATTGCCTGCCTCCTTTAGATACCCTCCTCCAGGTGAATGACGCTCTGATTTGTGAGAATTCTGGTGCGCACAGAGTTAAAATATTTCCAAATCCTCGATCTCTATGCTATGCATCTATGACTCAGGGTGGGGCTAAGGGTCTTGACCTTGTCACTCTTCCTGAGGACAAGACAAGAGGAGCAGATGAATCCAACTGTGAATGCAGTGTCCCAGAAAAGAGAGGCAAAAATCCTTTTTAGCACACTGACCCATCCCAATCTGTGGTTACTCATCTGCGATGCTTGCTGGTAGTTTTGATAGCAAAAGGCAACTGGGAAATTGGTTTTGCTATTAAGTGTGTAAGAAAAAGGTAAATGAGTTCCTTGGTTGTTGTTTTTTTTGTTCCCCCAATTTTTAAAGATGGTAATTAGGAGAAGTAATACCAGCCAGGCTTGAGTGAATGCAGACAAGACCCCTATAGGCAGCACAGTGTATTAGTGTAATAATATGCATAGACAACATAACTTGTCAGAGAGGATTATTTCTACTTAGTGAATCTGCAGGAGCCCCCTTGCTCTACTATTCAGCATTTGACTAGGGAAGAGAGTGGGAAGACAGAGAGAGAGGGAGAGAGAGAGAGAGAGAGAGAGAGAGAGAGAGAGAGAGGGAGGAGAGGGCGCGTTAGTGAGCAGCGACTGTGGCATTGATGTTTGAGCATACTTCTGAACTGGCTTTTGTTGAGACTATCAGTATAGAAGCATGCGCTGTCCCAAATCCGCTGTTACTATGAGAAATGAAGAGCTGCTTTTAAGGTATGTTGTTGTGTCCTTTGTTTTTAATGCACGCTTTTCTAGTTTCTAGAGCTGGCTGAGACAATAATTATGCTCTGAATCAAGTAGCTTCCTTACCTTAGAAGAGAAGGGGGGAAAAAGAATCTAAAGAGGAAGAGGGAGATGAAATCGAGACCCAGAGATTGGGAGAAAGAGAGAGCCAGCGAGAGAAAGGCGGAGGACTGCCGTGAATTCTATTTGTACTAGTTGCCTTTTGAAAGCATATCATGTATTTGCTCACTGCTATTTGTGAGTGGCCAGTGGATAATTTTAAGGGCTCTGAATCTGGATCTTGGTTCGTCTTTTCCTTTGCAATGTCTAAGCCTCTTTCATTTTTATGCACTCTGCATGGAATAATCACCGAAAAAGGAGCTGAGGAGACTCCATATTAGACTTGCGTTCCAAATACCGCTCTAATCTGGACTTAGCCTACCTAAATAGTCCTCCTGTGTTACCAGGTTTGGATCACTTTATCCTGTTTGCCAAAATGTGTACCCGTTTGGAGACCTCTTTCATGCATGGCGTCCTGGGTCCCCATGTATTGAAAGCAAATATTTGTTTCCTGCCTCTGTGTTGGGGGTTCTCTCACATACCAGGAAGGAGGCACCACTGACCTTTTGGGAAGCAGAGGGAAAATTATGATAGAATTGGCATCCTGCTTTGAAAAATGTAGTCTTTTGTTTATTTGCTAGCAGACATTGTAGCACTGAATACATCTTTGGGTCTGACAATGGGACCGGTTGAACAATGCAGCTGTCAAACTAGCTTAATGCATGTCTGGGGCTTTATTTTTTTCTTTTTCAACACCCTTTTTTATCTCCTATAATCTTGTTTGTATAGACTATCAGAATGAAGAGCTTTTGCAACTGCTTGTTTGTGGTTTAGTGCTTTTAAAAAATTTAGTATCTACCGTTCATAGAGCTTTTTGCATTCTGCCGCTATGTTGGTTGGATTAAGTTAGAGATTTATTTCTTACCTCTCTGTTAACTACTGAAAGAAAACTTATTGATTGAGAATGCTTGTAATACCATTATCATTCTGGCAAATGCCTTGTGATCAGACCTGCCTCTATGGTATTTAAAGCTTGGGGATTTTTAATTTGCTCATTTGGTGAACTTATGAAACATAGCATGAAAAAGAGTTAAGAGGAATATTCTTGATGTTTACGTAAATTACAGTTTTTAGTCTCTGCTTCTCCCTTTGGCATCCATGTAGATAAACGGTTTAGAAATTCAAGGACAAGTGAGAACTTTTGCCCTCACAATTTCGGTCACAAACTATTATTATATAGCCTATTAAGTTGTGAAGTTCAAGGTCTCTGTGGAATATATTGATTTTTGATTTATGCTTATGTCCTTATAAAATGCCTTTCTATGCAGGGCAAACATTTCTCACATCTTCAAATATCTTTCATTTTACAAGATAAGCGTTGGTTTCTAAGGTGAGAACAGTGAAGCTTTCGACAGAGAAAATGGAAAAATCTGTTTCAAACTTCTCAAATAATGAAACCATTCATATTGCCACATAAGAAATAAAAGAATTGGCCCTAGACTAGTGAATTATAATTGATTTACATGAAAATCATTTTACTAAGGTTGACTTCTGTGAAGAATATATCTTATCTAACATTCTAATGTGTTGCTTAATTAGCTGTTTGTGCCACAGCAATATATCAGAATATATTAGTACATTTATAGAGAGAGTTTAAGTACCTCATTTTAAAAAACAGAGGGGAAATTGTTTTGAAGGGTAATTTTTCAAACTTTAGTTGTAAATATTCCCTATTGGATTATATTTTGGTTTAAATTAATGATGTTCTCAATAAATAAGAAACAAGATGTATTACTTAGGAAAACAGTTATGAAACATGAGCTATTTTTTAGAATTTGGACGTGAATTTCAGTTTTTTTCAATTTAAGTTGAAATGTTACAAAAAATTTTAATACAGGATTATTAAAATAAATGTTACCGGATAAATAGAATTGCCTTCTAAAGTAGAGATTTTTCTATGGACAGTATTTTCAGAGTAGGTACACTCAAAACATATGTGCAGCATAATCATATTTTTTAAGTTATCGGTTGTGAATAGAGTGAATTTTAAATGCATGCCTGTGATGTTGTCTTACTTGCGATGGGATCGGAACTGCTCATTCCATCGTATACCAATAACTGCTTTCAAGATGGGCTCATAAAAGGTAATTGGTGAAGCTTTATATCTGAGGCCGGCACACGGTTTCCAGCACACTCCGATTCTGCTTCCATGGGAAATGTTTAATCCAAAACAAAGGTTGCAAGTCAATTTTGTGTGGGTTGGGAGGAAAGTAGCCTTCTGTGCTCCCTAGCTGCTTGTCCGTGGCCCGCTTAAAGAAACGACGTGGAAACCCCCACGTTGAATTTTTGACTAAATTAGCAGTTATTTATCTGTGATCTAGTCACTCTAATTCCTGGGTAGTCACAGTTAGGTACGGAAACGAGGTAACTCTCTTCTCACTTTGTTTGCTTTTCCGGTGGTTGGATTATTACCAGCTCCCGGAATTTGGAAGCTGCCCCCATTCTAGCATCCGACATACATATGTCTTTTCCTTTCACCTGATAGGGACGGTGTGAGGTTGCCCGAAGCTGGCAAACTTGTCTACATCTATTTCCACAACAGGAACAGGATACGTAATCTGTATCCTTCCATAAGCCTCTATATGTAATGATTCCTCAAGGTAGTGACTTTAACAAATGTTGGAGGAAAGTTTAATTCTAAGCCCAGACATGCAGAAAAATGAATAGCAAAAGATTCAAACTGGGAAAATGACTTCTTTCCACAGAAAGTAAATATTGCACCCTAAGCCCTTCTGCCATGAGCTTTGGGAATATTCACATAGATGTGTTCAGCAGACCACAGACTGAGATCTCTAACCCCCTGTGTATGAATATTCCTTGATTTGTTAAAATGAAACCAGACAGTTTTGCTTTTTTTAAAATAGGAGGGTATACATTTGCAAAAATCTCCTTTTGGGGCTGAAAAACGAAAGTGAGCATTTGATTAGTATTCATATCTAGAACTTTGTAGCAAGTGCAGATTGTGCTAGAAGACCGAGGAAGTCATTCAAAGAGTGAATCAATACTAATTATTGTAATCAGGGGGGTTAATTAGGTGAAAATGTGGCTGATAAAAAGTTCATTGAGCACAGCCATGGAAACACGCAGGTTCTTGGAAAGAAAGTAAAATGCACAAGGAAGAGTGTTACGTGGGGACGATCATTCTGTATTTAAGGTGTCAGAATTCATAGACGAAAAGCATACCTTGGTTTTGTCATCATGGTAGTGAGCATATTAGAAATATCCCACTTAGATTTCTTTGTATGGAGATTTCTGTAACAGTCATTAACAGAATGCAGTTTGTTTTGTGGCATCATCTTCTTTGTGGCATTGATCTGTACTTTCTGGAACAGTAATGAGCACAAGTCCATTCAGTGGCAATAATGCCTTCTTGGGTCACCTTTATTAGCCTTCACTGAATTTCTTTGCATATTTTGATAATTCCTGGGGAATTTGCGGGGGGGGGGGGGGAGCATTCCTGATTCATAAAACTATTGATTGCTTCTCTAATTGTTCCTGGATATGGGATTCTTTTTCTGAACTAACAGTGACTTTTGTTGGGTAGGAAAGACAAGGCAGTGGTGTGGAGAGGATTAAAATTCGTGGCAATTGACTTGGCTGACATTGGAAAGAGAGTGTCCAAGGAGGGACAGGACGTGGGAGGTTTTAATGTTGTAGCCCATTCAGAATTAAAATGAAGTGTCCTAGAGCCGAAGCACCTTTCTGATTAAATGGCATCAATTCACAGAGATCGGACTAAGATGGAAGTTGTGTGTGTGTGTGTGTGTGCGCGTGTGTGTGAGTGTGTGTGTGTGCGTGCGCGCGTCGGAACCTCCGTTCAACTCAGAGATGTTGCTGGTTAACCCTGATTTTCGATGAGGTACACTTTGTTCCCAAACACACCATTCTGCTTCATGGAACGTTGTCAGCAATTATCAGGTACAGGTGTGTTTATCTCCCCCCACAGCTTTCTTCTGAGTGTGTGACTGATCCGGCACATTTTCTTGTATGTCAAGACCATCAAAGTTAACAGGAAATGGCATCTGTGGAGAGAGGGTGACACCAGCCCTGAGTGACATGTATTACGAGGGCAGATTGAACTCCTGCTACTTCAGCCCATTCCAGGTTGACCCGCCCATGATTGGCTGTTTAGGATGGTGATGAATCACTTGAGTTTAGGGAGCAGGATTGGCAGCATGCCCTCAGAGAAAAATAAAAACTAGAATTTCCCTGCAAGACTATTTAGTTCCACAAACTTTGTTGTCATGGAAAGGAAGAGCTTGAGGTTTCAAGTTATGATGCTGACATACCTCCGATATGCGTGGCTGTTTTCATCCCCTTCTTCAGAAGGCCTGCAGCTGCAATCAGTAGAAAACTCTGTGTTGAAGCTTACAGGCAGCATCACGGGCTTCTAGCAGGTCTGTGAACTGACTAGCCTGGGCACAGTTGTGCCTTTATGCGGAAATTGATGAGTTGCTTTTCATCCTTCTTGTAAGGCTCTCCATCTCAGTCCCACCAGGACAGCAGGCCCTGCGATGTTGCTCATGCTTTGCTTTGTGAACATCCTGGGCTGAGAGTCCAGCTCTCCTCTGGGCTCGATGAGAAGGCTGACCTGCTCATTTGGAGATGCCTTTAAGGTATCATGTCTGTAAATGAAAACTCATGTTGACCTTGTTTATGAAAAACGATTTGATAAAAACGAATGGAGACCCCATTCCAAGCCTCAGGATGTTCGGTGCCTGCTCTCCAGAAACGATAACCTCCCTCTTCCCTCTGGGTCTGGCTACAGGCCTTAGAAGTATCAGTGGAAACCTCAGTGCTAAAAGAACAATCGAATCAGTACTGGCCTTCTCTCTTCCTTTCCAACTGCCCGTTGTAGGTTTTAACAAAGATAGGGGTGGGGGTGTTGAAATAAGGAATAAAAATGAAACTTATTAACAATCTACCTGGCACTACACTAACTGGTTACTTTGATCTTGTATAATTTAATCCTCAGATATCCAAGAGTTAATGGTAGTTGTTATTCCCATTTTAAAGATGAAAAACTGAGCCCGAGAGAGGTAAAGTCACAGGCCCATAGACACAGTGGGAGGAACTATGACCCTGTATTCAGCCAAACACCTCCCATGAGCCATCTTGACAGTATAACTATTTAATAGTTGACATTTTAAAGACATTTCTTTCTCTGGTGCTGTGGTTCCACTGTAGACGTTGATTTGTGTCTCCTGGCTTTAACTAGCGAGGAAGTTGTACAATTCAGCGAGGAACTGTCACGTAGGATCTGCGGTCAAATCCCTGGTCACTGTTTATAGTTTCAGCTGCTCAGCCCTTCCTAAATTACAGCTCTTTTAAACTTACCTTGCAGTGCCAATTTTGGGAAGGGCATAGGACTGAAGAAATGGAGCACAGTGCTAATGCAGAAAGCATCTAGGAAGGAAGAAAGGAAACATTTTTGAAAGTACCAATGTAGATTCTAACAACTCTCTCTTCTGTACCCTCATTTGTTCACCTTACAGCTGAGGAGGTCTTTGAATTAAAGCATCCCATGCCTCACTTCTCTTGGGCTTGAATCTGTATAATGGGAACAGATGTTGGAAGGAACAATAGACAATTTTAAAGCATTATGAAATTAAAGTATGAATTTTTATGCATCTCGGGGGCCAAAATAGGTCATACGGCAATGAAAACCAAGCAAGTAACAAACATACATGCAGTGCTCAATGAAAGACATAGTCTGGGGCCTCAAGCAACTCACAGCACTCATGGAACAAAGAGTAGACAGTGAATGAGGAGGGGTCAAGTGGCGAGATGCAGAGACAGGGGAGTTGAGCTGGGCCCTGAAGGATGGGCAGATGGAGGTGGGTGAGGGGGAGAGGGAAGGTGTCATTAGGACACCCTGAATTCATCTTTATTATTAAAAAAAAAAAAAACGCAAAATACAATCCTTAGCTTCATCTCCTTTCTTCCTCAGACCCTAATGTCATTTACATCTCTCCTCTTCTCTTACCTGCCCTATTCCTATGAAACAGGGCAAATATGTAGCTATTCATATAAAGAGGAAATTGAGAAGTGAAGTGATTAGGTCACATGACACTTTGTACTCAGCGATAGTGGTAGGACAAGATAGAACATACTCCACTCTGTATAGCTTGACTAGGTAGCTATACCACTTTTTCCTAAAGGCTTTGGGTAGTTCTTTTAAGAGAAAGAAAAAAAATTTCCCCTAATGGACTTCATGGGAATTAGCATCAAAAGCAAAGTTAAATAAAAAGTCATTTGGGATTTTCAAAAGCCTCTATCCTTGGCTAAAAATGGCTGGAGATTTGAACCATATTATAGGGAAAAAATAAATTTCCTGTGCTCAAAACCTTAATGTATTTTCAACCTACATGTCACTTTAATAGCTTGGTTATATAACTGCTGTAGTGATAATTAGGTTAACACATTGTACTTCTTATCTGAGGATCATGGTAGGCTTTGATTTTTCAGCCATTCATCTCTATTAGGAAGTACGGAATGGCCACGCTTAAGAAGAAAGGTCTAGCTGATGAATCAGAAAATTAAATGACTCATTCCCATTGTCAATCAACTCTTTGACAGAATGAAATGCTGAATCCAACAAGTCTGGTTCTTAAGCCTCAAAATGTCTTCACTCAGTCTGAAAGCAGTGCTTGCCCTAAAGATTCTGATCTGCATGTACTGGATCAGATATCTTCTGATCCTAGTGACCACGAGCTCTTTGGGAGGGATCAGTTACCATAGTGAGTCAAGTAGATTCATTTGCTTTATTTTAACAGAAACCAAAGCTTTGGCTCTCTTAATCCTCACTCTTTTTTCAAGATGTATTTGTTCAGAAAAAGGACAGACATTCAGGCACATGGGCTGTCATGCCCAGAGAGATTCCCTCTGAAGTAGAGAATTTGATTCCTGCCAAGATCCGTCTCAGACAACCCCACCCTCAAGCTTACCACATCCATTTCTCTTCCTTTCACCCCACCTGTTGCTGCCTTCTCCGGGACCGAATGTTACGCCTGCAACTGTGTCCTCCCAGCTGTTGCTGTTCAGCTGTTGTAGTCTGTCAAGCGGTAATGTCTCCTTTTTCTAAAATTTAACACCATGTGACAGTAAGACAAGAACTTCTGACCAGTTGGGGAAAACATGTCGTCGGGGTGGGGGCAGTGAGGGGTGGACTGGGAAGGAATGAAAACCTCATTCTGATAAGTGTAAATTTTGTTCCTGCCGCCAGGCTGGCACCAGATAAGGGCACTTGGTATGGTTTGACAAATCTCGGCATCTTCAAGAGGGCACTGGGACATTTCTTCAAAGGATTTTTTTTTTTCTGAGTGCCTGCCGTGTGCAAATCACAGTGCTAAACAGGGAAGCCTTTTTCTTCTCCCCACCCCTTCCCCAGACGTCTCCTTCCCAGTTTTCACATCCTATTGACTCCCTTCATAGTGGACAGTCTTCCATCCTCCCCCTCCTCTTCCTGGTAATGTCTGGAAAGGAATCCCAGGGCTCACTGCGAAGACAGCTGTTCCTAGTTCAGAAATCGGCCTTGGTCAAGGCAAGTCAAACATGATTTCTCTGGCAGATGAGCAACCCACGGCTCCTTTCTTCACTTTGGTAGCCACCTACTTCCTCAGACACGCAGCTGGAGAGGAAGTTTCTGCCACTGTCTGGCTCCCATTTGAGAGAGAGGAGGAGAAAAGGGAGAAAGAGAAAGCTGAGAAAGAAAGAAATAAAAAGGCCTGCAATCTTGGTACAATGGAGAAAGGAGAAAAAGGAAAGGGCAAGTTAGAGAGGGAAGTGATGAGATGGTTGGGCTCTGGGTGTGAGAGATCCACAGTGCTAACATTTCATTCCCTTGGATTGGAAGCTGCAGACCACGCTAGTGGGGTCCCTCCTTTGCGAGTGAGAAGGTATGTATCCAAGGAACTGTCTTCAGCTTGAAGGCCTCTTCACAAGGGAGATAAATTCATCATGATGTATTCTGGCTCTATGAAAAACAGCTTCAGAAAAACACAAGATTGCAAAAAATAAAAATAAATAGAAACCAGTGGAAGCTATTCTCAAGCAATGGTGACTACTTACTATTCCCTGAAAAAATGTAAAATGAGCTTAATAACGATTTCATCTTTATTGGCATTTACTTTTACTTAAATCGCCTTAGAAATGTGATAATGTCACTGTTCCAGAAGTTATCAAGATGGAGGGAAAATAAGTGATCATTTTAAACTTATAATTGGCGATATAAATATTTATTGTTTAAGTGATGTCATTACGGAACCAAGAAGAGATAGGCTTACAATGTGTCACTTAAGGATATGTTTGGGGTTTTTTGTTAACACATTAAAAAATGTTTATTTTTGCAAGTTGCTAATGAAACTGCAGTAAGCCAAGAACAAACACATGGTCACAAAGTCAGATATTCTCTCAGGTACTTAAAATTCATGTGGATTTCAAATGTATTGCCTGGCAATGATGGGAAATCCCCTCACAGGGCCTGTATTGCTTGCTCCAAATGGCTGTGAGCACGCTGGACGTGTTTTTTTGTTTCTTTGCTGTTGCTGTTAACTAAAACAGCTATGCTAATAAAATTTGAATTTGCAAATGTGATAGGGGAAAGATGTTTTGCATCCTGGTTTGTCATGACGAGCCAGAAATGAGAAGGAAAAAGAAATCCTTCAGTAAAGGTGGCTTTTTGAGTTGACTGAACAATGCTAGCACATCTTTGTTCTGTAGTTGAAGGGCTGATAGCTACTGCCTTTTAAGTGATGCTACCATGGGAAGTTATGTATAGGAATAATAAAAAATGGAAATGTCACAAGATATACAAGGTTGTCTGCACGAGCAGAAAATTAACTGTTGGGTTATAAACATGGGTCACGATATATCAAGCACCAGTCCCTAAATTATAGTAGCAACTTTGTGCAAAAATGTTGAAAGATCTCAAGTCAGTGGACTGTATTCTGGTTCACTGATTGAGTGAGGTGGCAGGAAAAGGGTTTGTATTCCAATTCAAGCAGTTTGTACTCTGCGTACAAATGCATTTATTAGCACTGTTTCCATTGAGTGTGTTTTTTTTTTAATGCCAGTGATAATTCAGTGCTCAATGACCTGTGGACAAAACTCTGTATGAGATGAGGTTCGAAGACGGAAGTGGAGCTGAAACTGCACAGTGCTTTCCCTTGCCTGGGAAGGCCTCATATAAAATGAGGTCATTCAGAAACTTTCCCTTGAAGTGCTTCCAATTCTTGAATTGCCTTTTGTTTGGGAAATGAATAGCAAGTTGATTAAAAAAAGGAGACAATTAGGGAAGGTAGGGGGATGGGGCTAAGAAGAGCTTAAGGTTTTTCCACAATGCAGCTAAAACTATGAGGAAACTTCATTGTTCAGGACAGCCTGGTCCCCAGTGATGGCAACACAGGGTGGTGTCACCAACCGGTTCATATCCACGGGTGGGGCCAGCTGATGGCGTCGTCCCCTCCACTGCTGTCGATAAGATCCTTGACTATAAAATAGCTTCATTGAACCCGAGCGTTCAACAGCGGCCCCATAGAGCTGTCTGCCAAATAACTCCAACTGCCAAAACATGATACCTGATGGCTCGTTACTGCATGAAAATTAAAAAAGGGGCCCTGTTGAGTTGTTTTTAGATTTTTTTTCTTCTTTCCAAAGCAGTGAAATGAGAAATTGAAGCTTTTCATCGGGTGGTATTTGGTTGGGTGTTCTTGTTTTGTTTTCTCAAGAGCTTTTGAAATTTGTATTTTTACAAATGGCTTTTGTGTATGTGCTGTGATCATGGAAACCGACTCGATATTAGAAATGAAAGCTACAAATGGAAGATTGTTGTCAATAACCTATGGTGGGGGGTGATGTGTGTGAGTATTTAGTTTCCCTCTGGTATCTACATCAAGTGCCTATGCAATCACTACATTATTTATTTGGCAGCCAAAGTATTTAAAGTCAGATGCACCCCATAAGCTCTCCTCGGTTCACATCACCATATCCCATGTAGAGTGAGTTTTCTTTTATATTTGACCCTGGTTTTGCTTATATCTTTAAACTGCAAAAGCAAATGTGATTTGAAAACTATGTTACACAGTAGTTAAATAAAGCAGTAACCTATGCACTTGGAATCCTCTCTCTATGACCTACTTACATACTACTTCACCCTCCTCATAGTATGATTAAAAGCTGCTTTGAATCCACTATTGCCTCAAGGGATTTGAGGCTAGAATTTAACAAACTGCTGAGAAGGCTTAAGTCAGTAAGAGGGCTTCCTTACAGCTTCTTCCAACTAATTCACATGCAATTAAAGAGAAAATAAGTATTTCAGAAGCGTACATGTTAATGAAACATGTTCTACCTTATAGAATGTAGATATACATGTTCTACCTTACAGAATGTAGCCTTTATGCTATGGCTGATTAGAAAATATTTTTCATTTTGATTAATGCAGTTGTGTTTTGCTTCTGTTTTGGAGGCCAAGTCTGCTCCTTTCTTAAAATAATTTTTATATAGTCAGCTGATTATATACATTAGATATTTATGCAAATAACGTATGGAAAACCAAGAACTGCCAAGGTTTGTCTTCATTTATCCAGCTAATTATTAAGATAATTGAAGACCAATCAAAATCCTGTAATTTCAAAGGCAGAAGAGTAGCTGGGGAATAAATGCAGCTTAGTAGTCTGGGGACAAGTTTGGCCCTTTGGGAGTATAAGAATTCACTCGATTGCAACCATTCCTCAGTTCCTTAGGAGCCCAGACCTGGTTCCTCCAGTAAGGTAGTATTTAAAAAATTAAGGTTAGTTTAGCCCTACATCTAATGATCTTGGAAATAGAAGGTCAAAAGCCAGATACATTGTTCAGCTGAAGAAGGCAACCAAGTCCATTAAGCATGTGTGGACTTAATTGAATATCCCAGGTCTGATACTTTGTATTGCTCAATGCATCAAACTGGATTTAAAATTGATATGTAAGTGTCCATTTGCCTTCATAACCTCTAAAGATAGTTAGCTGTCATCACACAAGAATCTGGTGAGAAATAATTAAAATCATATTTTGTCTATATCATGTCTGATACATTTAACTATTTGTAACTTGGTTGTTTAACCCTCTGGTTTGTGTGATGGTATCCTCAGGCATAATTTGTGAGGAGAAAGCCCAGCTTCCTAGCACAGTTCTGATTTTTAGAAAGACAAAGACTGAAAATTACATATTTCAAACAAAACCATGTGTGTGTGCGTGTATGTTTGTATAGGTATATGGATGTATAGCTGTATAGACACATACATTACCCTAAAAGTTTAAGATGTCATTACAAAATCAAGTGAAGGTTTCTCTAAGAGGTAAACTATAAACTTTTGGTACGCAATTTATGATGTTGATTCAGAATGTGAAATATGCCATGAAGTCTTACATACTTGTGACTACACTGTGAAAAGTTTGCCACCCACATAATCAACAGTGAGAACGATCAATTAGAATGTCACCTTAGAAACGAATTAGTTTTCCAGAACTTATGCAAATCACTTAAAAATTAAACTCGCCAGCTTCTCTGTTTTTTCTGAGTTTGGCCATTTTTCTCAATTCTTGTTAGTAAATCAGTCACAAATCTTAAGTGGATATTTAAGCTTCATGGCCCTTACATTACAGACCTAACACTCGTGAATTCACTCAGCTGGTTTCTAATTATTGTGTTAAATACTAGGAAATGGCAGATTCATGATTATCGTTTGTGTAGAAAACGTGATTTATGACTTTATTTTCAGCCGCTTATACTTCTTAGTGTTTGCAAGATGACAGAAAAGGCAGTGCCATCGTGCAGAGACAGGTTTGTCTTCCTTAGGGCACTGCGATAAGTCCCTAAATGTCACTTGGGTCATAGATCTGATCTTTATTTTGCCTAAACCTCCTATATCCTTTCGGTGATCGCCCTTAGTTCCTGCCCGGGCAAGCACACCACACCGAGGAGCATCGAAGCGAACCCTCGGGCTGCTCGCCTCCCGCGGCTGGGCTCTGGGAGCGCGGCTCGGGTATGGAAGTGGAGCGGGCTTTGGCGCCTGGGTGGCCCTAAACCTACTCCGAGCGGCCACGGCGGCCTCTTGCCAGGGACCCCCGGGCGGGGGAGCAGAGCCAGGCGGGGAGCGGGTTTGCCTTCGGGGGCCCAGGGGACCCTGAGAAGTCTGGCCGTGCCCGGGCGGTGAGCGCGGAGGCGGCCCGCCCTGTGTCCCCGCGGGGCGGAGCCGGGTTCGGGGCCGCGCTCTGGGCCGGCGGGCCCGCAGGGGTTAAGCGGCGGCGGGCGCCCCGCGAGCTCCGCCCCCGCCCGCCGCACCTGGCGCTCGGCAGCCGGCCGCCCCGGCGCTGGATTTCGGAGGGGATTGGCGGAGCGCGAGGAGAGAATGTGACAAGTGCCGGCTCGGCGGCCGCCGGGGGAGGCCGCGCGCACCTGTCCCTGCCCGTCTCGCGCCGCCCGCGGCCGCTCGGACGCGCGCAGAGCCGCCCCCCGCCGCTGCCGCCGCGTGCGCCCGCGAACATGACTTCTGCCTTCAAGCTGGATTTCCTCCCGGACATGATGGTCGAGGGCCGCCTGCTCGTTCCTGACAGAATGTGAGTGGCGCCGCGTCCCGAGGCCGGGCGAGCGGGCGTCCTCCTCCCAGAGTCGGCGGCGCGAAGGGGACGGGCGTCGCCCGCAGCTCCCGGGCGCGACTCGGCCGCTTCGGATCCGTCGCCTCCCTCGGCCTTCGGAGGCCGGCACGGGACGCGGGAGGAGGGAGCGGGTGCGGACGAGCAGCGCCGGCGGTGCAGGGCGCGGGGCTTCCCGGAGGGACGAGCGGAGCGCGGCGTCCCGGGGACCGGGCGGGGTCCGCGAGTCCGGGTGAGGACCAGCGGGCCGAGCGCGGCGTCCCGGGTCCCCGCGGGGTGAGTGGGGGACGGGCGGGGTCCACCGACCGGCGCGAGGACCCGCGAGCAGGGTGAGCGGGGCGCGGCGTCCCGGGGTCCGGGCGGGGTCCATGAGTCCAAGTGGGACCGGCGAGCCGGGCGCGGAGTCCCGGGGTCCGGTGGGGCGGGCGGGGACCGGGCGGGGTCTGGGGGTCCGGGTGAGGACTGAGCGGAGCGCGGCGTGACGGGGACCGGGCGGGGACCGGCGAGCGGGCACGGGGTCCGGGCGGGGTGCGCGCGTGCGAGTGTGCACGCTTGTGTCATTTGAAATGCGGGGCTGACGGAGCTCTGGTGGCCGGGGGGAAAGAGCTCTTCTTACCAAATTACCCGCTCATCTGATTTAATATTTGCAAAGATCCTTTCCTAAGGTGGGAGAGGGGAAGCGGAGACAAGGAAGGGCGGGGGGATAATTATAAAGCGTGAAACTAGCCAGGTGTACTTTATTGCAGAAATTAGAGGTAATTTTTACGTAATCATGGTTTGTCTGATATGCAGTCTGTAATTTAATAATTAATGTGATTCTGGTTGTTTTACATGTCGTCAAACTAAGGTAGAGCGTTTATTGGAAAGAAGTAGAGAGCTGGGATTCCTGAAGAAAGGAAAGTATGTCTAATTTTTAGCTGGCTTGATAGGAAAGTTTTTATTAGCTCGGAGGGGTCAGTAGGATCTATTTGTATTTCAGGCATGTTAGGAAAAGGAAACCTAAAAAGAGAGAAAAGATTGCCAGAGTGGGAACAAAAGGTCTGTGTCCTTTTTCGACATTTTAAGTTTTCTCTGATCAGGCGAGAAATTGGATAGCGGATCTAAGCTGTAATTAATCTAATCCAGTGAGAAAAAAATGGATTGGTATGGTAAGAGTGCGTGTAAAATGTTTCCTGTTCTACCCACTGTAGGACTTAACATCCCTATTCTGTCTGGCACCTTATGGTACTCTGCAGTATTGAGGTTATTCCAGGCTTTATGATCCATTTCCCTGGCAACTAACTTTCCCCTGCCATGCTAGATTCTTTTTCTAGCATGTTAAGTGTTATGAGTTAAGAGATTCTTGAGAAACTCTGCAGTGGCCAATTATTTGAGCTGCAAGGACCTCCCCACCAAAAAAAAGGAGGGGGGTGGAGGAGGGGGATGATAGAATCTGTTATGCAAATTGTCTTTTGAGTCAATATTAAGAATGTTAATTTGCTTGTACACGATCAGGTTCATCTTTTCCGTATTCTGTTTTGGTAGTTTTCTCCGAGATGTGAATCATGATTAGTAACATTTCCACGATATTTGTTTTAAGAGACCTCTGTCCTGTCCCCCATCTTAAAATATATACCTGTATAGACACGTAATACATGTTTGCACATGAGCTAGTATGAAAGTTTTATGCGTTTTCTCCTCTAGAGGCTAGAGGGTCCAGGCTAAACTGAAGAATTCGCCTAATCATGATTTTGAATTTATGGTCACCTGCTACTTAAGTGACCATAATATAGCTAAGCTGATGAATGCTCTATGAATTTAAAGTGTTAATGGCCTCAGAAAGATGCAGTTTCTTGTCAATTAAATTATGAATTACAAAAATTTAATTTATCCTTTTCATTTGGTGGATGAATGTGGCCTGTTCAAGCGATTTGCTCTGAACTGAGCCCTTGTGCCTTAGCCATGGAGTCTCCTATGAAAATCCTAACGTGACTTCCACCTCACTTCTCTTCCAAATGTTAGTTATTTCCAAATGATAGCCTTTGGAATCAAACCCAAATTGTTCTCAGCGTTTGTCAGCTGTTGCTTAATTGAACTAAGGGAAGAAAAGAGGATTTGTAAATGATAGTTTTATTATTTGTTTCCTAAATAGCTATTGTGTGTCTCCATAGCCCTGAGAACACTAGAGCATGCTTTTATATATCGTTCATAATTAACTCACATTAAATACTGTATCTGGGGATAGAGGTGTGTGGGGGGGAATATGACAAGTTGAAAATGCCTGAAATCCGCCTAAGTTGTAAGTTTTATTGCCATATTCACCCAGTTGAGAAGATAGCCATGCGGATTTATTGTTTTAGGGACTGGTTGTCATGTGTGGTATATTGCCATTTGGACTAAATTGCAGTCGGCTAGATATTGGCCTGTTCCTAAAAGGAACTTAAATAAAGCATAGGGGCTTTTCTGCTGTTGATTTTTCTAAAGCAGTAGAATATTTTCAATGGCGTTTTCCCACGAGAATATATTAGATAAGTTTGCAAGATGTAATATGTTTGAGTCCTCAAGGCAGATGAACAAATAGCTTTTGAGATGAATTATTACGCTTGATAGCCCCACGAGCTATCCAGTGTTTAAAGAGCCCAGATCATTTAAGGCTCTGTAGTGGTGTAGAATTGCTGTAACATATGCTTCAAAGTTTTGGGGTTTTAAACATTCGGTATCAAAACTATAAATGGAAATGGACATTTTAAATAATCTTGGCTATTAAAGTTTCATTGTCTTTGTGTTACTATACAATATCATCTACAATATTAGCCACACAGCATAATGAAAACAGGCACTGATTTTTTTTTAAATTTGATTTTAAACTGACAGTTGATTTTCAATTAAGATGGTGGAGAGTGTTTCCTCCTTTGATTCACCTTTTTAATGACCATATACATGCATTTAGGGTTTGTAAATGGTTTTGGATTTTTAAACAAAGCTAATAAATAAAGTCTCAGAAATGAGAAATTACAGTTAGACTGATAAACACAGCTTAAAAAGCATTAGGTGTTAGAATAAGACACTGAGAAGAGTCTACCAATAAATTAAAAATAAATTTTTTTTACATTTGGTAGGTAACCTTATTGAAAATGAGAAAAGTTATGTTGACTGTAAATTCATCAGCTTAATGAACTAGCTTTTTGTTAAGTCCTTTCAAGTTAGGATAACTGGCAAAATATCTATCAGTGTATAATTAAACTGAAGGGTGGTTCTAAGGACATCATTGTTAAAGCTGAAAAGGGCTTTAGAGACCATCTCATCAGACCTCATTTTATAGATTAAGAAACTGTTAGAGGGGCAGTGTGACGAGTCCAAGAAGTAATTACTGCCTCCCCCCAAAATAAGGAAACGTGAGTTGTTAGTTGAGTGCCTGCCATGCGCCAGGATAGTTTATTCACACCGTCTCTAATCTGCAGGGTGGATATTGCCCACATTTTACAGATGATGCTTAAAGAGGTGACCTGCTTGCCCCTGCCACATAGGCAGTAAATGGCAAAACTGTGGTTTTCAAGTAAGTGAACACATGTGGGGTGGCATGTAATGTTCATGGGTTGATGCAGAGAAGAACACTGAATTAAAGGATATGACATACCCTTTTATCAAAATCAAAACTGTGCCATGTGAGAATGAGCATAAGAAATAAGTATGTCACCTGATCAGGATTGATGTATGTGAAACATCATTTTATACTTTCTAATTTGATTCCAATTCGGTTATTCCATATATTTATTAACTAAGCAGAATACGTTTTAATTAAAAATCTTTTTGGTTTACAAGGTTCCAGCAAGATAAAGATCAAAAGCAGTGGGGTTCTGTTTTTCTCCTCCATGGGCATTTAAAGTCTATTTAGAAAATGCAGTTATAAATAATACGGAGATAACTGGCATTTATCACCTGATACTCTGATGGTCATGAAAGGAAATTAAAATGAGAAAAGTCTAAAGAAAAGACTTTGCGTATGGTTCTTTAAGGAAAATTTTTGAAGTGTTTTTTTCAGTTGAGATTGCTCCGTTAACAGCACATGTTATCAGCTGCTTTCCGAGAGGAAGAATTCATCCCACATTGGCTTTTTAGAACACTGATGTTATCTTTGATCTGGGCAGAGGTATTATTTTAATTGTTTAATCTTGCTGTTTAATTGCAATTTGCTGGGTTGAGATAACTTTGGCATCTGTTGATGAGATGCAGTGAGCTGGGGAAACAAGACCCTTGAAAGACAAGATAAAAAGGTGATGGGATTTTTGGATATGAACCTAGTAATTAAGATTTCATGGGATCATTTGGAGTGTTTTCCACTTCTCAGTGTTTGGTTGTTTTTTTTTTCTCCCCTGACAGCTACAATAACACTGTATTTGGCCTCTGGTAAAAGACTGCAATATCCTTAGCTTTTTTACATAAATCCCCAAACTTCATTTCTCTTTACCCCTTCCTTACTTTTATTAAAGGTTAAACACTCGTTTACTTAGCATAAAAAGACAGGTTACGTTTGGCATGCAAAATGATCTGATACAGCTGAGTGTAATACAGCCAGCGCCCAATATGACCCAGCTCTTGGGCAAAAAATCAGGGTAGCGATCATTGTTGAGACTTATATGTAGATTATAATGGGAATATGATGTCATTGTTGAATTTTTTGTAAAAACCGACAAAAATGAAAACAAACTCTCATAAATGTTAAGCAGTACTATAAGCATTCCGTATCTAATTTGCATTTAAATGGAAAATGTTATATTTTCAACATGAGTCAAGGAGCAAAATTAATAAGTCATCAATGTTGCTTATGTTCAATGCTGCACTTTACCCAAACTTAATAGGTCATTATTTCCACTTTAGAGTATTACCGTTTGGGAGATTTTGTTTCTTCACGGGAGGGTCACATTTTCGCTTTTTGTTTTCGGATTAGGCCATCACAAAGAGTTAGATGTTTGTCAGTGTAATGTTTGTTTTACAGAACCACAGAAGGGAGGGTTTGGAAACTACTAATGATTTCCAGTTCATTAGCACCTACAAGTTCTCATGCATCCTGTTTGTTTCCTCCACCAAGGAGGTGCCGAGTAATATAATGAAGCCAGTATCAGTGGTGTGCTACTTGTGTAGCAGTGCAGAAAATGTATTTTTATTTTTCCTTAAGAAACAGCTCTTGCTAAACTTAAGAGAAATGGAGCTGCACATTCCTGGGAAAAACCTATGTGGGAAACAAAAACTAATTAGAGCAGCAAATGTGATGCTTTCAGGTAATTGTAAAATAATTATTCCCCTTTAGTATCATCACCGTGTAATTGTTCCATCCAATATCCTCATGCTCTGAATCCAGATGTGAAGGGATGGAAACCATCTCCTCCTCCTGGGAATGTATTTTTCATTTAGTGAGAGCTTTAGACTCCTCCTAAAGGACTTTTAAAAGAAAGGGGAAGACATTGAGGGAGATTTTGAACAGCTTCACTCTCCCCATTTGTTCTAAATCATGACAGAAAGTGATTACTCCAACTGTTTTTATAGAAATACAATTCCAGTTATGTGGCTGAAATGCCTTGTGAGCGTATTTGAGATTTACGCATTGGCCGTGCCAACCTGGAGTTTTATGAACAGTCTCTTTTATGAACTGCAGATTGTATGTTCTGTTTAGATACTAAAAGTGATGTTTTAAAATCAGCTGATAATTTAAAATGTAATGCTAATAAGTGTGTAGTCCTGTGGTTTTCAAAATGACGTATGAGTACAAATTCAGGTTTTGGTTAAATTTTATTTACTCCATTTGAGTGAATGCCTCAGAGCCAACATAACCAGCAAATTATTAGACCCATTTTTTTTCCTCCTAAAGATTTATGTAAATTAAGTTTAGGCTGTATTTAAACTATCAGGTCGGCTTTATTAGTCTGTGTTTTTCTATCAGGTTATGTGGCCTTTTACTTAAGGTTGGGTTTTAAATGAAGAAATCTATTCTGAAGAGATCTTCATTTAAACAATCTGTGCGTCCTCCAGATCAGCAGCCCAGGAGTCACCTAGGTAGTTGACCAGTTTGCCAGGATTCCTCTAGTGCTTTAAAGGTAGGAGTTAGATACAATATTTTGATTTTAAATCTCAGTAATTAAAGAAGTCAGTCGGGTACGGTTGCTCACGCCTGTAATCCCAGCACTTTGGGAGGCCGAGGCAGGCGAATCACCTTCAGGAGTTGGAGACCAGCCTGGCCAACATGGCAAAACCCTGTGTCTACTAAAAATACAAAAATTAGTTCGCCGTGGTTTCGCATGCCTCTAGTCCCACTTACTTGGGAGGCTGAGGGGGGAGGATCGCCTGAACCTGGGAGGTGGAGGTTGCAGTGAGCTGAGATGGCAGCATTACACTCCAGCCTGGGCGACAGAGCAAGACTCCGTCTTCTTCTTCTAAGAATAATAATAGTAATAATAATAATAATAATGAAGAAGTCCCGGAAGTTTGTCTCCTCAGTGAGACTGTATGCAGTGCTCTCTGTCATAACCATGGAAATCCAGTCTCCCCAGTGCCACAGCTGATTTGTCTGACATTTACAAGCTCCAATAGGACTGAAGATTTCCTACTTTCACAGATGAAGGTGGTGACTCACTACTCAGGGACAATGAAATTAAGGTCAGCTGATTTATTTCACATCTTGACATAGCTTTTGGACAGCTTAAATTGTTTCTGGTACCATAACAGTGTACTCCCAAGTACTTTGATTTACATACTAAGTCTAAAATTCTGTGCTTTTATGCTGAAAGTCTTGATTTTATGCTTTTTCTAAAGAAAGTTCACAGCTTGAGTAAAACTCATTAAATTTTAAGGTGGTATTTTATATCCTTTCTCCCAAATTATGTCTTCCTTTCTCCTAGTAGCAGGAAAGTTGACCCTCATTTATTTGACACAAAGACAATCAGTTGGTCTTTTAGGCTAAAAGAGTAAAGTATTTTGTCATTTACTTGAATGTGGTCAGTAGGCCTGAAATATGTGTGGGGGTATATACATATATGTGTGTGTGTGTGTGTGTGTGTGTGTGTGTGTATATGTATGTGACTGTATATCTGGAAAGTCATCTTATTGGACATATGGTTAGGCTTTGTGTCCCCACCCAGATCTCATCTTGAATTGTAGTCACCATAGTCCCCACGTGTCAAGGGAGAGAGCAGGTGGAGGTAATTGAATTATAGGGACAGTTTCTCGTGTGCTGTCCTCGTGGTAGCGAGTTCTCACGAGATCCGATGGTTTTATAAGGGGCCCTTCCCCCTTCGTTCAACGCTTTCCCTTCTTGCCACCTTGTGAGGGAGGTGCCTGGCTTCCCCTTCCCTTTCTGCCGTGATTGTAAGTTTCCTGAGGTCTCCCCAGTCATGCTTAACTGTGAGTTGAGTAAAACTCTCTTCTTTATAAATTACCCAGTCTCAGGCAGTTCTTTATAGCAGTTTGAAAATGGACTAATACAGCATAGGTCTTCGCTTTCTTAAAATATTTACCACGAAATGGTCTTTGGTTACAAAAGTGATCATACTTGTGTTTTTGGATTATTACCATTGTAACTGAAAGACTTTATGTTCAGAAAAGTTTCACATTGTGACCAAAGATGTACTGCAAATTAGTGATACTGCTAGAAAAAAGTCTCAGGACTGTATTTCAACTCTTCTGCCCAGAACTTTGGATTAACTCTGATGAAGGGTGAAGACAACCTCACTCTGGCAGTTCTGCCATGTTACTGGGTGAAAAGCTCAGACTCTTTCCCTTTTGAGGGCCTCTTTTCTCCTCACTGCTGAGTCCTTGGATCTGGGGGCTTCTTCTGTTTCTCAGTGGCAATTAAGATGTTGCTACTCCTGAGGTCTTTTCAGAGTTAGAGTAGGAAGAAAAACAGACTTCACAGAGAAATCTGGACAGTTGGGCCTCCACGGATGTTTTCTTGTTATGCAGACACATACGGTCCTCCGCGGACCACACCCCCTACCTTGTGCCTCTTGGCTGCTGCTTCCATTTTATATGATCCATGTCATGATCCCACTGCCACCTGTTGCTGTTGAAAGGGGTCCTTGAAATTTTTATTGTCTAATGGGAGTCCAGCATATAAACTGAACACTTAAAAAAGGTGAACGTTACAGCAGATTCACAAGCCCGGAAGTGGGTAAATTGGTTTAAACCAACTTAAATACCTACCCGCCTCCCCCGCCACACACACCCAGGTGTTTTCTCTTTGGAACTCGGGGGGAAGACATTGGGTATCAAGTAAAACAGGGTTGAAATCATTTGGTCCTTGAAAACTCTTAGGGGAATAATAGAAAGATGATACCCAAAAGTGTGAAGACAGAAAGCATTTGTTAGAGGACTAATGTGGATTTACTTCGTTGTTTTGCTCTTCACTCCTGAATCTCTGTACCCTGGCCTAGATTCAGTGTGGTCATAACCAGTACAGAGTACAGCTTTCTCTGAAGTTGTCTTGTTGCCCTTCTTATGTTTTCCTGATTTATATATATGTTTTAAAAAATCTCCTTTAATGCCCGTTTTATCCTTTTCCTGAGCGGCTTCCTAAGTTTCAACAGAAGGGGCCACAGCCGTCTGGGACTTAGTTCTCAGGGTTGGAGCCTCGGGAGGAGAGCAGTATCCAAATACCTAGCTCATCACTTGTAAATTCCACTGGAGCAGCTGCTTGTTTCTGCGCATTGAACTGTATTTTGACTTCCTACATTATAGGAGGAGTGTTGAGTTTTCGAGTTGAGCATAAGGGTGGCGTGTTTCGGAATGATTAACTTTATGGATGTCTTTGTCTGGGCCAGCTATATTTGGCTATGCTGCAGCTGTGTTTGCCTTCTCAAAATTGTCACCAGGAGGCCTCCAACTGCAATTAGTCACTTCAGTCCACGCTGGTAACATCTTTGCTCGTGACTCCCATTGTCCAGCCAGCCATCTTTTCTTGGTGTCAGGACTGAGAGATAACACAGGAATCCTTTGAGAAGCCTGAATGCTGCTGGCAGCTCTGTCTCAAAGCAGTTTCTTAATATTAAGCCATCCTTACATTGCCTCCTCGTGCATTTGGGATTCTTCTTTCTTTTCACCACAAGCTCATGTTTTCCTGTCTGCTCGTTCCCCCTTTTCTTTTACGCTCTGATGTCCGAAAGTTGCCGCCAGCATCAAATGGACGGTGTTTCTTCCTCTTCTGGGTACCTAGAGCGCTTGGGAATGCATTTTTACTTCTGGTGTCTTAGAGTCCCCTTACATAAGGGCCCCTTTCCTGTGTTGGAGAGGAGACTGAGAGGCAAGTCGTTTTTTTTATCTTCACCTCGGTTGAGTACTTGCTACAGAATTTACCTTTCTTTCGGGAGGAATTGAGGAAATACTTTTTCTTACTACAAAGACCATTTTCATTCCATTGGCTATGCGTGGTTTTTAATTTTTCATGGAAGTAACTTCCTCTTGGATTGTTCGACTTGCCCTGTATGTCGTAGAATGGAACCACTAGGGACATGGCTTCAGGGCCTCTCCCAGCACCAGAGTGGAAGGGCATCCTTCAAGGCTAGGCGTCCTTTGCCACTGTCTTATGAGAATGCCTGGCCTGCCTTCTAATCTGTTCCATGCCTACTTCAAGTCTCAGTTGACTTGTCAAGATTCCTCGTCTAGAAAATAAGGACAATAAAATACGCTGCTTACCTGTCCCACAGTATTACCGTCAGACTAATGTTGGGAAAGAAATGACAACCTAAATATTTTATAGCTTCCTGGCACTTAAAACTGGCCGCAAGTTCCCCCGCATTTCCCGGGAGAATCAAATTTAATGGAACTTCATTGCAGCTGAAGAGTGAATGTTTTCTTCTTCGGAACTTTCATGCTTTTAAGTCTCAGGCAAAGACCCATAAAGCATTGTTGCTCCCAAGTGAACTTTCAGAAAACGCGCAGTCCCTAGGACAACATCATGAAGACTGATTCTTTTTTCTTCCCCTCACCTTTCTGCATGATGATTGAGAAGTTCAATGAAGTTCATGTTCCTTCTGTGAACTAGTGGTCAGACCTTTCCATTCTGGGATGGGGGGGAAGCAAAGGCAGTATCTCCACGTGGTCCTTCTGAAAAGCCCTTCTCTACACCAGATTTTGATTTTCTTATGGGAAGAGAATCAGCCACACGATATGAAGGCTGGTTCTGACATAATGGGAATCACAACCCTTGCAGAAACCCAGCCGTTAAGGAAACGATTTTTTCTTTTCTTTTCTTTTTCTTTTTTTTTTTTTTTGAGATGGAGTCTCACACTGTCACCCAGGCTGAAGTGCAGTGGCGCGATCCCGGCTCACTGCAACCTCTGCCTCCTGGGTTCAAGTGATTCTCTTGCCTCAGCCTCCCGAGTAGCTGGGATTACAGGCGCCCGCCACCATGCCCTGCTAATTTTTTGTATTTTTAGTAAAGATGGGGTTTCACCATGTTGGCCAGGCTGGTCTCAAACTCCTGACCTCATGATCCACCTGCCTTGGCTTCCCAAAGTGCTAGGATTACAGGTGTGAGCCACCGCACCCAGCCTTTTTTTTTTTTTTTTTGGGAGATGGAATCTTGCTCTGTTGCCCAGGCTAGAGTGCAGTGGTGCGATCTTGGCTCACTGCAACCTCCACCTCCTGGGTTCAAGTGATTCTCCTGCCTCAGTCTTCTGAGTAGCTGAGATTACAGGCCCCCACCTGGCTAATTGTTTTGAACTTTTAATAGAGATGGGGTTTCACCATATTGGCCAGGCTAGTCTCGAACTCCTGACCTCAAGTGGTGAGTCCACCTTGGCCTTCCAAAGTTCTGGGATTACAGGCGTGAGTCACTGCACCTGGCCAAGGACACGATTTTGATGGTATGAATATGGAGCAGAGAGGTCTGTAGACCTGGCAGCCTTGGGTGGCCTCATAAGGTGCTCAGGCCGCAGAATGCCTGGAGGATGTAGATGGAGAGAGTCCTTGGGGAAATGACCTAGACAAGGAATTGGTGATTTTTGCCTTATGTGGTGGTGTAGGGTTAAGACAAGGGGTTTGGGGTATGGGTTATCTGTAGCATCTATGTGGTGTCCAGCTGCAGGGTGTGTCCTGGTTATTTTGGTGGTTAATAAAAAAGGCACTTCTTTATTCTGATGTAGCTGATAGGGTCTTTGGAGTGCTAAGAGATCAGAGTCTCCACAGAATGTGACAGTTTGCTCCCAGTGCTGCAAGTGACTTGATGCCCTAGATCAGACAGCACAGATTCTGTTTGGAAGCCTAAAGCCTCGGTGTGTGAATCCATTGTTGAGGAATATCCTCCACGACGGGCCAGGGGAATATTTGGCACCTACTGTAGCTGAGAGTGTGATATTGACTGTGGAGAAGCTCTCTGGGCTGTGAATGTGACCTCCAAAATGCAGACTCTTGCCTCTCATCACACAGCACTTTGCATTAGGGTGAACCAGGGAACTTTGCTGGAGGCAGGGGGGCCTTTGGCAATATCAAAGATGACTGTTGTTGCTGAGATTCTTGGGAAGGGAAAACTAGGTCTGTGGCTGAAAGCTGGCAAAATCTTTGGAGAAGAGGGCCAGCCACACAGATACTACAAATGTTTCTGTACAAATTAATTGGTACTTTGTAATTAGCACTTTTTCTCTTATCAATGTCCAAGAAGTCTGATTAACTTTATAGGCAGACTTTCAGTTGGGCCAACAGTTTTAAATCTGCCTGTTGTAAAAAGTGACCAAAATTGGACTTTTGTCACCTCAGAAGCCACGTGATTGGCCACACTTTTATCTTGCCTCTCTCTCAGTCTCGTTTTTCAGGTCTCCTAAGGATGTGCTACTTTTGTTCCAGATTTGTTTCCAGATGCCTGCTCAAGTAATAATCGTGCAGACCCCAGAAGCCAGAAAACATTTTCCAGTGTCAACCAAACTAATTCCTTGCCAATCATACGCTGCTTTTTGGTGTGTGTTTCTTTTAATTCTGATTACTAACACTTTAAGGGATGCTGCCTTCCTGTGGTTACATTTTCTGAACTATTTTATGAGATTAGTTATTCTTGATTTAGGATATACCATGGGCCAGCCATCAGGCTAAGGAGTTTATATTTTATCAATAATTCTCAGAAAAAATTTCCTCAATAATTTGTGTCATTTCCATCTCACAAATGAGGATATTGAGGTTCTAAAAGGTGGTGGTACTGAAAACTCGAAAATGTACCTCTGTTTCTCATTTCCAAAATCTGAGGTTGCACCTGTGTTTCTCATTTCCAAAGCCTGAGGATGCACCTCTGTTCCTCGTCTCCAAAGCCCGAGGTCCCACTTCTGTTCCTCATCTCCAAAGCCTGAGGTTGCACCTCTGTTTCTCGTCTCCAAAGCCCGAGGTCGCACTTCTGTTTCTTGTCTCCAAAGCCCGAGGTTGCAGCTCTGTTTCTCACCTCCAAAGCCTGAGGTTGCACCTCTGTTCCTCGTTTCCAAAGCCTGAGGTTGCCTGCAAGTCTCTTGAGGATTTTTTGGTGTAAACAGGTTGAGTTTCTGGATAGGTGGGCATATTGGCAGCTGAATATGTGGGTTTTGAGTGTGAAATACAGGTTCTTAGCTATGACCCAGCAATCTTCTACTTGTTCTGTGCTCTTCCACATAAATTGCTTTTTCTTGATTGTATTTCATAGAGCAATTTCTGAGGCTGGAAGGCAGGAGCATTGTAAGAGACATGTCAGTGGATGGGGACACCCAAGCAGTGTCAAGATCTCTTAATGCCTGAGGCAGATTCTCACTTACTGCCAAGATAAAGAAGCAATTAACATTGACTGCTAAGGTGGACACTTATTCTTCATTTATGATAACGGTATATTTTATGAAGAGGTTTCTTTGGAGGATTTCATTAGACACCTGGCATTTTCCCCCATTAACTTCCAACTTAAAAATTTTTGCATATGACTTAGACGAATGCTTGGCCTTCTCAGGTGGCGCTACGCCTTCTTGTGAATTAGAAAATGGTTCTCAGGTGGCATTTTGTCCCCACAGCCCACCTCAGTTGATGACCTTATGCAGTATCCTTTCTACAGTAACATCCGTTTTTACTCCCTCCTCCTTAAGTAGGCCTCGTAAGTAGGCAATAGAATAAATGAGCCTCTATGCAGGATATCAGTGGAGTTTCAATGATGGACAGCTGTGGCCAGCTGACATGTGGTACCTGGTCCATTTCAAGGATCATTACACTTTCAGCCACTCCACAGCTTTGTGCTCAAGTGCATAAACATTTGATGGGATTCTGTGTTTTCAGCAAATCATAAATTTCTGTCTACTTCTAGATACCCAATGTAAAGGAAGGGATAATAGAAAAGTTAGAGTAGAATTCATGCATGGGTTGGCCTAACCCACAAACCATTTCATACTGAACATTAGCTTGTCGAAATGCCTTTACTCTTGGCAGGACACAAGCGCCATAACCTAAGAGGATGTGATTTGAGTGGAGTTTTCATGCCCTGTGTGCTTATTGTATTCTTGCTACTGATGCAAACATTATCTATAATTACATTTTCAAGTGACTGAAAATTGCAGGCTTTGTGGAACAAAAATACAGCCAAAGAATGGAATGTATATTCACTCCACCCTCATTATAAGGCTTTCAGAAATCAGACTGTAAGGCCCAATACCATGGCTCTCAACTACGTGATACTAACTCCATTCTCTGATGTTTGAACACTTTGTCAAAATGCTGGGTTTCCAATGATGATCGTATAATTTGAGGAAAATGCTATTACCCTTTTAGCGCTTCATTTGCTCCATTGTTGACTCAATCACAGTGGCACCTCCTCACACAAGTCCTCTATTTCCACCCTGTGAAACAAACACAATTTGATTTAGATCGAAGCATGATAGGCAAAGTTGAGAAAGTTGGTTGAGGTGCATGCCTTCTTGGGGCAGGTGCGATTGCATCCCTGGGACATTATATGTCTTTACATCTCCCAGCTCCACATAGGGCTTAGCCAAAAAAAAAAAAAAAAAAAAAAAAATTGCTTCCAGGGGCCACCCACTACATCATGGGCTCTTTCTTTGTCCTTAGAACCTGGCTTTGGTACCAGAAAACCATCCTGGTCAATTTTACTCTTGTAGACACAAGATGAGACCCAGTTTCTAATTTCAGCTTAAACCCCTTGAAATTGTTAAAGAGAATCTAGCTGGATGGGGTGACTCAGTGCCTTTCATCCTAGCTACTCAGGAAGCTGAGGTGGGGGAATCGCTTGAGGCCAGGAGTTTGAGGCCAGCCTGTCCCTAAAAAAATAAAAATAAGAGAATCTGACATGTTATATCTTAGTATTTTGTTCATTGTTGAGTAGCATTTTAAAATCTAAGGAACTGTTTAATGAAATAGATGTTCCTTGGTTTTGGATGGAAAACTAATGAGAGGAAGAATTTATGATGGCATCGTTGTTTTGTTTTTAAGGCATGAAATTTACAATCTACGTGGTATCTCACGATGTTGTAACTCACTTTCCAGGCCCCAGTAGAGTCCAAACTCTTGGAAAATTTAAAGAAAAATTATTGTGATGGCTTTATCCAAAATAGAAGCAGAATAAATAATTGACGAAGGTTGCTCAGGAAACCTATAGACCATTCCTGATTCTCTGGTGTCTGTGTCTGACAGGATGATATGTCACCAAATAAATGTTTATTGGGTCATAATTAAATTGTGAACAGTTAATGTATATATAGTGAATTAGATGTTCCCCAATATGTATGTTGTGTTACCTTTTCTAACATAAATGATAAACTCAAATGTATGTTGGGTTTTGGACAGACTATTTTGTACTGTAATACAAAGATTACCAATTAGGTATTAACATTCATGGAGTTAAAATAACTTTGGGGTCCAGGTGAAAAGCTTTCTGAGTAATACAGTGCATCGACAAGGGTGTTTTCATTGTTTGTGTAAATGATTGTTACAGCTTTTGAAGCAAAGCCTCTACAGTGAAAATTCTGAGGCATAGACATTCCTCATCAAATATCACTGTCCAGTGGTGAGGTGTGAGGGCAACTCAATTTGTACATCTCATGAATTCTTTCTGTGAATCACAAATACTGTCTCAATGTTCAGGGCATTTTTTTTTTTTTTTTTTTTAGACAGTTTTGCTCTTGTTGCCCAGGCTGGAGTGCAATGGCACCATCTCGGCGCACCGCAACTTCCACCCCCCAGGTTCAAGCGATTCTCGTGCCTCAGCTTCCCGAGTACCTGGGATTACAGGCATGCGCCACCACACCCGGCTAATTTTGTATTTTTAGTAGAGTCAGGGTTTCTCTATGTTGGTCAGGCTGGTCTCAGCCTCCCGACCTCAGGTGATCCGCCCACCTCAGCCTTCCAAAGTGCTGGGATTACAGGCGTAAGCCACCATGCCTGGCCTCAGGGCACATTTTTGACAGGTTATTTGTTGAGGCATCTGACTAACTGCCTGGGCTTTTGATAGCATGGATTCTTAGCCAATCAGCAAAATTTATTTTAAGAAAGGTAATTAGACTAGAACCAAAGTAAATTTAGCTTTTAAAGTTATCTAATTCTCAGGGTTTCTTGTGAGCCCCTACAGTGGCAAATTGATTCCCCTGTAGTGTTGTAAATACAGTGTGAGTCAGAAAATACATTACAGTTGTACAGTCTGTACAGCAGATCGAATAGTTAAGTTGGACAACTGAGGAGTTTAGGACTTACGAGTTACAAGCGACCCATTATTGTTGGACTGAACTGATTAGTTGTTTTGTTGTCACTTGGAAACAACCTAAACATTTCTGTACTACCTGTTCCCTTTTTTAAGTCTGAAATGTCTGCCAGTGAATAAGAGTTGCAGTTTAGCATTGTTAACACAAATATTTAGTCTCTAAGTCTCATATAATGTGCTAGGTGGCTGCCGGCTGTTCTAGGTGTTACAAAAATTGTATGAAGTATAACAATAGTTGTTAGATTACAAGCTTAAATATTTGATGACTCTGGGCTTTTGTCCTGTTGACTTTGCCTGTATTTTCTTGAAGGAAACACAAGTTTAAAATGAAGAAAGAGCTGTACTTCTGTGTTGTTTTGGGGCTATGTTGGATTAATAAGGAATTTCTTGTTGAGATACAAGAAATTAACCGATGTAACTTTTAAGACCTTCATTCCTTATTCTGTAGATCAGGTGAGGTAAATATTATAATGGGGCCTCATCTTTAATTTTTATTTTTTTTTGCTGCGTCTAGATCCCTCCTAGATGTGTTAAAAATATTTCATGTGTTCCTTATTACTAAGAACACTGGAAGAAACTGTTAATTTTTATTTTTTTTGCTGTGTCTAGATCCCTCCTAGATGTGTTAAAAATATTTCATGTGTTCCTTATTACTAAGAACACTGGAAGAAACTGTTGATTGGTGGAAATGTGCACAGAAGCCCCTCTTCTGTGATCTTGGCCATTTGGACTGTAGCATCCAGTTAGCTTGTGATGGGGGAAAATCAGCATTCATCAAAACTGGCGATGTGGCAGTTCTTTCCCATTCAAAAGAGCTGCAGTGGTGGTGGTGCACTGCTCCATTAGGTCAGGTTGAATCTGGTATGATCCATGGAATTAATTGTGTAAGCAGTGGCATCTGGATTTTTATCGAGCCTGTCCTTTTGCTCCCTAAACTTCTGTAGCAGAGCTCTGTAATTTACCCGGGATTGGGAATCTTGAGAACAAGTAGATGAGGATCAGTGAAATTAAGAGGATGGAATTGCAGCCACTTGATTGACATTCGAGATCCAACCTGAGGCTCTGTTTTGTGCCCTTGGTACTCAAGTGGGTGCTGACCTGGTTTGCTGGGATACTCCCAGCTTCCATCTATTGTCCTAGCATCGTCATTAATAGTATCCTCCTTTGAATTAAAAGTGTCCAAGTTTGGATAATAAATTATACAGTCCCCTTTCTCTTGTCTGATCCTTATCACCGCCTTTCTTAAATACGAATGTGTGACCATGTTTAAAAGTCTCTGCGTGGGATTAACCCAAACTTTTCCACCAAAATGGTTAAGACTTTCAAACCTTAAGGAAAAAAAAAAATTCTAACCTTTCTCCAAGCCGTCTTCTTACCTAAATCCTTATACATAGAAAAGCTATTTAAAATTTAATACAAGTTTATTTGTTGTTTCTAATATGGTAGCAGCCTGCTGGGAGATGTCTCTCTACACCCTTCCCTGGTGCCTGGATTTAATGTGGAGGACCCTGAGATGAGGCTTTTGGGGAAACCTTCCCATTCAGTGCTGTTAATAACTTTTCCCCGTTCTGGAAAGCTGGGATAGGCAGCTCAGATGCTTCAGATGACTCAGCCAAAGCGTGACCACAGCCAGGAAATGATCTGATGATACTGCCTTTGTTCTAACACTGCCCTTTGTGAAAGAGTCACAGGAGAGCTCAGCCAGATTTAATGGCCCTGGGGTGCCTAGGTATATTTTTGAATTTTAATCTGAGATACTTTTTCACTCTGTAAGGCTAATTGCTCTTTCTCCTACCGTGCTGGAATTTCAGAGGATTTTTGAAATATGTGTGTTTGAAATTGGTTTCCTGATTTTTACATTTATACCCAGCTGTTTGTTATTCCGTTCAGCCATCAGCATCTGAGTCTCAATGGACCATGTAATGTGCAGCTGTAGCCAGATATAATGCTTCCTCTCCCTAAATGTTTCTTTTAGAAGCTTAGAGAGGCAGGCTAAAGACTGCTGATAACAGTATTGCCTGCATTAATATACCTGCTGGAGCTACACAAATTCTGCTTGGCAATTTTATTTCATGACCAACAAGCAAAGCAATGTTTGTGATCTCCATCCCTGGTAGTAATGTTGACACTGTATATATCAAGTATATCTGCACTGATGTGAGAGGTAGTTGTACAGCTAATTCAAACTGCAGGAAGCTGTCTGATCTGCATGCGTAAATACTCTGAAAGCCAGGCTGTACTTAAGCATCAGCCAGGATTCAGGTCAGACCTTTGCCAAGATTAAAACAGGTCCATAAACTGACTCTTGAATAGAGAATTTCTTAGGAAGGATAATTTTAGGATCATTTCTCTTCAGCTTATAGACAAACCTTGTTCCTAATTTGCATTTATTATTCAAATCTGTGTTTCCTTTTGTATTTGTACGATGTAACTTTGTTTAGAGGCTATAGCTTCTACTGAATTTAATTACTTTGCTTCCAGGCTTTAAATTGAGGGCAGCTTCTATTAATCGTTAATTACTTTCTTCAGCCATTTACGCAGTAAAGGTACAGTTACTAATTGAGGGTATGTTCTATACAATGGCAACAGGCTCCTTCAGTCTCAATATTTACCTTTCTGTGGGGACTGATTATTTCCCTAATCTTATCTTTTGCTAAACATAAAAGTAGACATTTCATTGACATATTGGACATTCCTATGATCCAGTGTTAGAGATCCTAGATAAATAAATGGGAATCATACTTGGCTCTGGGTTGCCACCTGGTGGTGTATTGATCCCTTTTAGCCTCCTCAGACCAATCTCCTATGGGAAGATGATATCCCTGGATCTACTATTCCATTGCTAGTTTTACGCTGAGAGCCCGCTGGGGGTTTACAGATAGGCTTGTGCCTCATGGGCGGCTGAGGGAGGAAGCATCAGTATGGCCTGGGTGTTGGTTGTTTTTTTATGTCATGAAAGTATGTGTTCCATGTGCCTTTGGTGTATTTGGCAATTTGTCTCCTTAAAATTCCTCTGTTGGCCTATGTGACATGTGATGCTTTTTCTGATTATCCTTCATTACCCCTCCATGCCCCCTTTCTTCCAGCCTCCTGACTGTGGGCGTCTTGCGCTTCTCACTCTTTGGCTCTCACCTTGTCCTTCTCATACTTCCCTTTTTAGAGAGCTTCTATCTTCACCCACTGTATTAGTCCGTTCTCACACTGCTAATAAAGAAAGATGTACCTGAGACTGAGTAATTTATAAAGGAAAGAGGTTTAATGGACTCACAGTTCCACATGGCTGGGGAGACCTCACAGTCATGGAAGAAGACGAAGGAAGAGCAAAGGGACATCTTATATGGCGCAAGCAAGAGCACATGTGCAGGGGAGCTCCCCTTTATAAAACCATCAGCTCTCCTGAGACTTACTGTCGTGAGAACAGCGTGGGAGAAACCCACCCCCTTGATTCAGTTACCTCCTAACAGGTCCCTCCCATGACATGTGGGGGTCATTACAATTCAAGGTGAGATTTGTGTGAGGACACAGCCAAACCATATCGACCACTGTATCTCAGCTGATTGGGGTGGAGGTAGGGGGAAGCTGTTTCTCAACTTGTGATCTTTGCTTTTTATCTGGATGTTTCCTGGTGAGCTGTTCCTCAGTCTCAGTAGCCTGGGCTTTGAGTCAGCCATGGTAGATAGTGGAGTCTATCTGCTTGGTGATGGGCACGTGCTGAATGCTCAAGCTGGCCACAGCCCCATGTCAACAGTTTATTAAGAGTGTAACAAACCCCACTAAGGTTTCTGTAATTTACTAAAAGAACGGTGAGAGTTGTTTATTCATCCATTTATTAGACTCAGTATTGTACGAGGTGAAGGTTCCTCGTGGCCTAGCTTGGGCTGTTGAGTTTCTTACTGACACTTTAGTCTCCACTTTGAAATGGATTTACCATGATACTTCTGTGTCATGATATGCTTCTAGTTCATGGTCCTATGATTTTAAATTTAATTTTTAAAACATGTATAAAGGTAGAGAGCAAGATAGAATTGGGTTATAGGTTGAATTAATGAGCAGTGGCAAAGTGAAAAGCTTGAGATTTCTTTGTTTTGGGGAAGCCGAAGTTTATGGAAAAAAAAAACAGTGATTTTAGTATGTAGTTTCTGTAAGACTTTGTAAAAATGCTCTTTACTCCCTGGAACTCTAGTAGGTAGCCATGTTAAGTTATAAACCAATTGTTGCTGCTGGTGATAACAGGCAGAGGAGCTGAAGCTCGCATGAGAAATGCTTTGTGTCCCACTGTTCCCTGGAGATGGCTGCCTCGGAGAGGACCCAGCCACACCAGCAAAGAGGAGCTGAGGTCAGCGTTCAGGGGGTGAACATAGTAGCTTCATTTGAAAAATGACTTCCTTTTTTTCCATCTGTAGCCTGGCTTCCCTTTGTGGAGTCCTCTTGCCTAGCCTCTGCCCTATATTCCTAAGAGAAAAAATGCTTCTAAGAATGCATCTAAAGTGGTTTGCGCTGCATTATATCACCAAGTTGTACTGGTAGAGGTATGTGGTGTGTGAAATTGAATGGTATTTCAAACGGTAGTGCTTATTAAGTTATTGATACAGGTTGGTTGTCGACTTAGGCAAGGTGTGAAGTTAATCCTATTAGACAGTGATTACTCTTCTACCAAAGTACATCAAAAGAGTAGTAGTTATGGTACTGGGACAGTAGGAATTATGACAGGATTTCTATTAATAATCAACTACTATGCAGTACACCACTATAAAAATGAATTCTAGAAGGAAAATTTGAATATCCATTTCAGCACTGATTTCATACACATTACACATATATATTTATAAATCATATATTACAAAAGATGGTAGGATAAAAGTCAAGGATTATTATTTTAAATGGTGCTCTAACATTAGTATAAATATCTCACATAAAACCATTTAAATTTCTGGAACCCCATAGGTGGGCTTAAAACTGTGATAATTATTTTAAGTTATACTGATTGGATTCATGTTTATTAAAACCCTTCTGGCATCAGTGAAACTTACTAAACTTGCTTTTGGAGTTAAAAATGGAAATTTTTACAGATTCTTTGAGATCGAGGTGGAGCAGGGCCTCCTGTAGAAAGCCAGCAGTCTTCTTGTTTCATCCCCTCAACCATCCACCACCCTAAGCCAAGTGCGCCTGAGCTTCCACAGTATCCTGGACAAGTGTGCACACGCGCTTGCATCCACACCACTCTCATGGCATCGACCATGTAACGGCGATAACAGCCGAGTCCTGTGTCAGCTCTCCTATTAGCGTGGAGGACACTGAGAGCAGAAACCGTGATGCAGTGAGCCTTCTGCCCACAACACTTCGTGCCCTGTATGGCACAGAGTGGGTCAAACACATCAGATGAGATAGGAAGAAAAGTGGAGAATGCACTTTGCTGGTGCTGAGATGAACTGGGCCAATTCTCATGGGGCACCTCCCATGCCAGGATTTGGGATGTAAGCTCATCTCAAATGTAGCCCATCAAAGCTATTAAATAACATAGTACTTTTTGGACTATTCCTCCAACCTACTTCTTATGCTGGTTGTGTGAATTATACCATTAGGGTGGTGAGCTATGTAGTCACGGTCACAGTGTGTACTCAAAGTACCTTAAAACGAGTTCAGAGTTAATTATTTACTTCACAAGACACTGCTTGTCCCATGTTTGCCCACGTACACATCTTATTTTGTAAGCTTTACACGCTTCTAATGCATGTTACTGAAAACAAGTTCTTGAGTCACAGTTTAAGGTTCCATTTAAAGCCACTCAATGGAAGATAGGTTAAGTGTACTTCATAATTTTGATCATTGAACCAGGAACATTATGTACCAGTTTTTAAGGCTAGTTTCATTTAGGAAAAAAGATAATTATATATCTATTACGTCTTACATTTTTGTAAATTCCATTGCCACTGGAGGAAACCATGGACCAGAGTAACCTAAAGATGCATGTTGGTATATATTTTAATTCCAGGTAACATTGGAATGTGGTATGTGTTGGGGGTGGGATCTTCCTGTTTGTTTTTGTCAAGCTAATATTATTTACAAAAACCATCCCAAGGACTGAGAGCAAAATGTATTGATTATCTTTATGTGGACCATGACAAATTGATTTTTTAATTGAGACTTCCTATTTTCAGGGAGTTCAGTGTCTCGTAGGAAAATAGTAAATTTTGAAAAACTTTAAAATGTTCATGCCACTGATCATGGGACCACATGATTGTTGATAAGGGAAGGTAGGACAGGAGGAAGTTCAAGAATTCTCAGGGCAGTCCAAAGCAGAAGGAAAGGGTGGCATTTCATTTATGTATCTGACTGCCATCTTAACTGTGTTCTCTGTGAATGGCCTCCAACAATATGGAGATAATTCAAAACAAGCATTAACAAGATATAGACAGTGTTTTGGAGAAGAAGCAAAATAGGGTCTCTGTTTCGAAAACACACTGTCTTATGTTTAGTGTTTAATAAGTTCCTAATCTGCTATAATAACATCTTCACAGCTGATAAACTGCATCATATAATAAAAGTAACAATAGTTTATGGAACTTTTAAAGGTATAATTTGTACAGAATTTTAATTATGGAGCCTAGAACTCTGAGCCACCAGGAGAAACCTATTTAATGTATCTTCTATGTAGCGACGCACTTCCAAGCAGTTCCTTGTTGTTCTGGTCTGGTTGGTCGCTCTGTTTTTCCTGTGTAATGGTTTTTGTTGTTGTTCCTTGGTTCAACAAATGCTTTTAAATGCCTGCTTATGTGCCCGTTACCATCCTAGGTGCTGGGAAAACTCTGCATCCTCAAAGTTATATCCCCACTCATGGAAATGATTTTTTATTTCCCTTTGATTTTGTGAGTTCTTCTCTTCCAACTGATTTCACCTTCTACCTTTCAGGTGTTTTTCCATTCAATATTTTGAATATTTTTTCAAATTATCAAAAATATTCAATATTTTCAATATTTTTCCATTATTCAGGGCTGCATTAAGCCTCTGTTTAGCTCCATCTCTGTGATAGGTTGTTCTCTGGCCAGCTGCTGTTCTATGGCCTCCTGCCATGAATATCTTACTTTGGTTGGGCTGCTATAACTAAATGCCATAGACTGGACGACTTAAACAACTAATGTTTATTTCTCAAGGTTTTGGAGACTACGGAGTCCAACATCAAGGTGCTGACACATTTGGTTCTTGGTGAGGGCTCTCTTCCTGGCTTGCAGAGGGCTGCCTTCTAGCTGTACCCTCACATGGTTCAAAAAAGTTGTAGTGTCCTTTTTTCTTCTTAAAAGAGCACTAATTCCATCACGGGAGCTCCGCCCTTGTGACTACAACTCAATCTACTTCCCAAAGGCCCCACTTCCTAACACCATCATGTTGGGGGTTAGGACTTTAACATACGCATTTTAGGGGGACACAGTCAGTCCATGATAAACAGTGGTGGTATCAAGATGTAGAGTAAGATCCCGAGAGAGAGAGGGAGACACTACCTAAGGCAAGACTTAGGGAAATGGTAGTACAGTATCGAAACCCACTGGCTATGAATAATGGTGTTGGTGTCTAAACACACATGCCTCAGGATTTCTCTTTTAAACTCTGAGCAGGTTCACTCAGAAAGTCATACCAGGGAAAGTTCTCACGCCATCTTTTGTAATGAGGATGAAAAAATAAAGTGCAGCTATAGATGGTATCAGGGTGGTAAGACTTCGTATTAACAATATGATTTATAATTCTTAGTTCTCAACTCATTCGTAGTTTCTGATGAGTCAAGTTACATGAACTTTTCTCATTGTGTTTTCAGACCATTTTCCTGTGACAGTTATATAAAGAGATGGGTCCATTTTCATGCTGTGAATCCAGTGGGATCTCTGATCCTTCCATCAGGACATAACATTAATCCCTGTGGAATTAAATCTATCATGGAGAGTTTACAATCTGTAAGCTGATATAGTTGGATATCCACAGACCCATTACTATATATACGAAAGAATTGTCAAGATTATTGGGATTTTCATATATTTGGTGCATACTTCTTTCTAGATTACTGTGATTAGTTCCATTGTCATGTATGTGAATTGTACTAAAATTATATATTATGATCTACCCATTGGGGGCATAATTATGGGTACATAGTTAGCCATGGGTAGACTTAGATGGATAGACTAGAACATTTCTGTTGAACGATTTTTGCATGATCAAAATTTCAGTAATAACATGAAAAGGAAAGCTGGGGGCTTAGCACTGTGTTGATTTGTCAGAAGATTACCAAGAGGTTGGTTTTCTCTTATGGTAGAAAGAAACTTACATTTATCTCCTTCCCTTTCAAATTTGTTATTATTCGACAGTAGACAGTATATTTGATCCCGAGCTTTTTAAAGCCTGGCAGCACTGTTTTGTGTTGAATAACTTTAAACTGGGCAGTCAAAGGTTAGAGTTCTTTGGAAGCAGAGGTCAGAGCAAAGGTGGAAATGAGAGTACAATTGGTGGACATCTTGGTTATTGCTGCATACAGATGATTGAACGGTCTCTCTTGACTTTGAAGACTCACATTGATGTTTCTTCTAACAGCATAGACTCACATTGATGTTTATTCTGACAGCGTAAGACTTTAACCTGGTGTGTCTTTTCTTTTTATCTGAGAAGCTGTGCCTGACTGTGGCTGTCTTTCACATACCACGAAAGCCAGTCACCCTTCTAAAATGTTCAATTCAGTGGTTTTTATCATATGCACAAAGTTGTGCAACCATCATCACTATCTTTTCCAGGACAATTTCATCACCCAAAAAAGAAACCCCGTACCCTTTAAGGGTCACCTCCCCCACCCCAATTTCCCTTAGCCCCAGGCAACCATTGATCTCTGTTCTGTGTTAACTGGATTTGCCTGTTACATGTACATTTCACAGAAATGTAATTGTATAATATGTGGCCTCTTGTGTCTGGCTTTTGTTTAACTTATGATGTTTTTGGAGATTTATCCATGTTACAGTGTATCTCAGGACCTCATTTTTATGGCCCAATATTTCATTATGTATAGGTGCCACAATTTGTTCCTCAGTTGATGGACATTTAAGATGGTTTGGCTTTTAGGAATAATGCTGCTATGAACATTCAAGTACAAGTTTTTGTGTGAAAACTTATTTTTAATCCTCCTGTGTATATGCCTAGGAGTGAAGTTGCTTGGTCATGCAATAGTTTTTGAGGAAATGTCAACCTGTTTGTCTAAAGTGGCTGCACCATTTTACCTTCCCACCAGCAGCGTATGAGGTTCCAACTTGCTGCATCCTTGGCAACAGTTGTTGCTGCCCATCCCAGGATCACGATCAGTTAAGTTTGCTTTTGTAATGAGAAGGGTGGGACACAGAAAGTAATAACTAAGCCCGGAGGGTATTAGGCAGGGCCAGGGCTGGTAGAACTCATGTCTCCTGACTCACCGTCACCATTCACTGCAACATTGCATTTCAGGAAAGCTGGGTGAAGAAAAAACACATGAGAAAATAATAATTGGTCTGGAATTACTTATATTCATTTTCCCATTATAAGGAATGGAACAGTTGGTTTCTGTGATCTCTGATGCAGTCCAGTTGTGTGTTTCTAGCCTCAACCTTGCCCTGAACACCAGCATTGAATATCCCGCTCCTGGCTGGACTCTTTCTACTTGGATGCCTACATGGTTGCATCGCAGACTTCCGTGTCCTGAATCAAGCTCCTCATCCCCCGTCCTTCCTTTCTCCATCTCACTAAATGGTTAGCCAGCTGCTCCGGGCAGACCTCCAGAGGCTTTGCTTCTCCCACATTCTCCACATCCAGGCCATCAACAACCTTGTGGGTTCCGCGTTCCACCTGCAGTCGCTCCTGCTGTGGCCACTGCTTTCTTACGCCCCAGACCGAGTACACATGTTTCCCATCTGGACTGGTCACCCGACCATCATCTCTCACCTGGACTTGAGATTGTGCTCGGATCCCCCAGTGGCTTCCTCGCATACCTAGAAAGCAAGCCAGCGTCCTTAAAATATCCCACAGCCACAGACCGCCTGCCGCTTGCAGTTCCAGCATCTTACATTTGCTCTGCTCCACCCACATGGGCTTCTTCGCTGTCCTGTGACGCTGCCAGCACACCCTCTTCAGGTTGTCTGTGCTCGCTCTTCTCTCTGCCCTGAACCCTCTTCCCTCAGTTGTGGGCACGGCCTTTGCGTCTTCACTTCTTCTAAGAATCTACTTAGTCGCCTCATCCAAAGGCGGTCCCTGACTATCATCTCAAAAAAACAGTGTCCCATCACTTTCTATCCTCTTACCTTACTTTATCCCCTTCATCGCATTTTTTACCGTTTAACAAAATGCTCCATATTTATTTGCTTTTGTGTTGCTTTTCCGTATTGTCTACTGGGATGGGAGCCCCGAAACAGCAGGGGCTTGGTCTCTTGAGCTTACTGATATATCTGCATAGCCTGGATCGGTTCTTAGCACAAAACAGGAAGTCAGTAAATTACTGTTAAATGAACAGGTTATTTTATTCTCCCTTTTGGCATCACTCAGTCTTTGCTGCCAACCTATTTTGGGTGAGCTTTAAATTTTTTTTTTACATCTTGCAAAAGACTTCTATATGTACGTATCAATTTGTGTGAATCTCTGTAGCACAGTTTCTTCGTATATAAATTTGCAATAATTCTGGGCAGGTGCTTTGAGACCTCATTTGAGAAATGTTTCCCCCCACCAAGTACCAGAGATTATGATGGTAATATTGTCATTTTTATTACTCAATCTGGTTTTAATACATTATAACAGTATGGACCCTATTAGCCAAGTACACGATAATAGCCTTTTATTACAATACCCTAGGATATACTATTGTAATATTATAATATCTTATTGTGGTTCTAATAAGGATCTCACTTATATATACATAGAGCTCTTGTAGTTTTATAATATCCAAGGATGAGACTCTGCTGTTGAGAATCTTATCTAAAACATGATACCACAATACCAAAAGGGATATTGACAAAATATGTCCACGTATTTGAATTGCACATTCATAGTTTAATTTATTCTTACTGTGCAGCACATTGTTACCTGGAATTCCAGATTGTTCAAGTGCCTTCCAGGCCTCTACTCGCCTGTTTATTCCATTTAATAGAATAGCCAAAAATAAGTAAGGCTGATATTAACTTTGGTGAAGATAATGTTCCAGTGCCTTCCAGTACCCTAAATAATTCAAGAGGATATGATGCTGTGACTGAGAACTTGTGTTCCGCAGTCAGGATTACCTAAGGCTGAGTCTTAACTTTATTTTTATTTTGGAGGTAGGATCTCACTCTGTTGCCCAGGCTGGAGTGCAGTGGCATGATAATGGCTCACTGCAGCCTCAAGCTCCTGAGCTCAGGCTAAGAGCTGGGTTAGTTTTTTATGTTTTTCTATACAGACAGGGGTCTCATTAAGTTGCTCATGCTGGTCTAGAACTCCCGGCCTCAAGCAGTCCTCCCACTTCAAACTCCTAAAGCACTAGGATTACAGGAGTGAGCCACTGCCCCCAGCCATTAACTTTATACCTTAACATGTCACTATGAGACTTTATCTTCCAATATTCAGTGTCCTTACCTGTAAAATGGGTGAATAACTGTAGCTACCCTCTAAGTTTGTGTGAGAATTCAATGAGATGATTCCTATAAAGTACCTGGCACCTAATGAAATGCTCAATAAATGTTAACTGCAATTATTACTATTAAAACATTTGAACACCATGTGTGATGAAATATTCTTTGGCAAAGGGAGGCTGGAATGACTCTCAGGTAAAGAGTAGTAAAAGGGCTATAAGTAGAGCAATAAAATGCAAATGTATGACCTCCGCTTCTTTCCCCAGAGCTGTACATCATTCCATTTGTTGAAAAAGGGAACGGGGCCTACTGCTGAACGCAATATAACAAATATAACACAGAGACCCCCTTAAGGTGCCATATCTGTTTATAGCCTATTTAAAGAACAAAAAATAGATCTTTCTGTGGCACTTAATCTGGCCAGGACACTCACAATACCCGTTAGAATGTGTGCTTATTTCATCGTTACAATAATGGGAGTTCACAAATGTTCTCTGCTCTTTTCACTGAAGCCTCTAGGGGTAGAGGTGAAAGAAAGGAAACAAAATTTAAAATGCTCAGGGTTTGTTTTTAAAGGCAACGACTCGCTCATGAAGAGTTTGAACATACAGGGAGACCAGCTGACTTGAGCTGTCTACACCTTCCAGCTCTGTTCTATTTGCTGCTGTTTAATGTTTTCCTGCCTCCCCAACCGGGCTGCACGCCAGCGGTTCTCAAAATCACGGCACCGCTTGTCTAACAACACCGAACGCTGGGCCCATCCCCAGACGTTCCGATTCAGCGGGTCCAAGGTGGGGCTGGGAATTTGCATCTCTAACGAGTTCCCAGGTGATTGTGATGCCCGTGTCAATGTGCCGGTCAGAAAATCACAGATTGCCAACTGCTGCTGGATGCAATTTGGATCTCCCTAGACGACTTGGCCCAGAGTTGGGCACAGAGTATGCCCTCAATAAGTACTTGTTGGTTCACTGCCTCTGATGACACCGAAATGAAATATAAAGGGAAGATAAAGTATATTAAGGTTCTCATTAGGCGCACTGCCTGATTCTCATTAAGACTGTCCTGATTTCTTTTATGTCTTGGGCATGTGGGCTCAGTGCTAATTTTCATGGCTTCTGTGGTCCCTGAAGTACGAGCTTTTTCATAGACTCCAAGGTTCTCCTCATTTACCCTTTCTTTTCCTAACTCATTTCAGACGGACGCTAATAACAGCCCGCAGAACCCTCAGGACCCATACAGGAATGAGGATTCTCATACCTCCCAAAGAGTTTTTGTAAATCCCATGTCTTTAATCTCATTTCGCTATTTCTCAACACCCTATTAACATAAAGCTTAAGCCCTTGGCTTGTTGCTTTATTTTCTAAAATTTTAAATTTCATCGAAACTGCCTCCACTAAGCTAACATGTGCTTGAGTCACTGGGGAGAAGAAAATTTCCAGAGATGTGATAGAAAACAAATTGGGCTTGTAGAGGAAGGATTGTTCGGAATTATTATATTGTCAGACCCATTGTTTATTTCGCTCACATTTTCCTAGGTCTGAGCGCTGGAGTATTTCTTCACCAGAAAAGAATTTTGGAGGGGCGGGGGAGGTTGTTTTGCACATCCTTTAAACTCTTCCTATTTAAGCATTTTAGAGGAAAATGATGTTTTCCTTCATGAAAACAGATAAAAACAATCTCTAAGTTTCCATTTCCACTGAGTCCTTGCTACTTAGAAGGGAATACAGTCCTATACAAAGATATTAAAGACCTGTAAATATCTTTTCCACTAAATTTCTGAGTATAATTTTAGTGCTTTACTCACAGCCAACCCATGAGTTCAGTTTTGAGATGAGTGTTTTCCAAAGTAGAGTCCCTGGAGGACACTAGGAGGGTGTTCTGTGGATGAAAGGGTCTCTATGGCAAAAAGAACGCAAGCTTAGTGAACTCGGGTTTAAGCAAAATAAACAGGTATCTTTAATTCAGGGCTGTCAGGATCTTTAATATGGCTGTTGTGCATTGTGGGTATGGAAGAGAGCGATTTCTAGAGTCTCTGACCATGGCATCTTCTGATGCTGCTGTTCTGCAGAACAGATTTTGGGAAGTACTGTGTGAAAATCCCTACGTTATAGCATCGTCTTTGATTCCTAAAGAAGCCTCAGAGGTATTAAAGCTGCTCTTTTCTGTGTAGATTCAATAGGCAAAATTTCAACTCCTTTTTGAAGCAAAAAATTTATTTTTAGAAGATTTAAAGTAGTGATGAGATCTTGTTTATTCAGTAGTTCTCTCACTACTGAAGACCTCAGTGCCTTTCCTGAATACTGATTTCAGGCTAAATTTTTCTGGGATATAGACATTTTCATTCTTATGTTGCCTATATTTAGACAAAGTTTTATTTGTCTAATTTACCCATCATGTTACTGTTGCCACATGCACTTCTAGAGTGAAATACTTTGGGACAAACCTGAAGAATTTTTTTCTCTTCTAGATGTCAACTTTCAAAATTATGGAAAAATGAACTAAATATCATAATAAAGATTCACTCATTCATAATTTAAACAAGCCCCTGAAGCCCTCTCTCCAAATGTAAGAATTGTTCCCTGCCAGTTTGTTCTCTTCTCAGGTTCATTGTTTGGCCCACACCTCCTCCCCTCAACACTCCCCAAGGCTGTATTCCAGTTAGTGATACTCTGCCTGCAATGTAGCTTTTCTCAGTCACTAGAAAATGTCAAGAAAGTATAGTTTGAACTGTGGAGGTTATTAATCTCTACGACACTGTCAAAGGAAAGAGGGAGAGTTTTATAGCTGCAGGTTATTAACACTCTTGACAATAGAAAAGTTGACCTTTTTTTCCCCCTTTGCATTTAGGCTCTTGCCTCTGCTTTAAAAACTGGCAGTGAACAGAATATGCATTTTTAGCTTTCTCAGTATTACGTATATAAAAGTAGTGAGAGATGAACCTGACATATACTTGATAATCAGATGGTTGCGTTACTGTACCTAGGGTATTGTAGTTTAACTTTTAATTCCAGGATGGTTATTTGTGACAGTAAATGTTCCCGTGCCACCAATCCTGGTTTTCTGTTTTATCCCACCTCTACTTCCCGTGTAAGGAATATATTGACATCTGGGAAGAGTTAGATCCACCCTTGTTTGACAACACCATTACGCTGGGTAAGATCCACTAAGCTGTGAAAACGCATTCATAAAACACCTAAGGTAGAATCTAAGAACACAGTCTTCCTCTTTTCTTGAGGGGCAATCCAAACTTATAAACTGGATACATTACAGAGCACTGTCATTTTCCATCTCAGCCAATCTGGTTCTTATTCACTGACTGTAATTACAAATGTAGGTGTATGAATTAGTTGGTTAAAAACTCCAAAGTGTGTGTGCACATAAGTGCATTACATGTAAATACTCTGAGTGCAGAATACCTAATTTAAATGAGTGACAGGGAGCACAACATCATTGGAATTGTCAGGGAAACAGAAATTAGGTGTTTTACAGCCCCGTCTTTGTCTCTGGATACTGCATTCATGTATTAGAAGCCAGAGGAGCTTCAAAATATGTACAGAATTGAGTGGGATCTTGGGTGTAACCTATTACCATGAGAAATTGGCAAGAAGGAAATCACTTGTTTTCTGCATGTTCTTATGTAACCTTGAACAAACTGTTCTGTTAAAAAAAAAAAAAGTCTTTTTCCTTGCTTAAAAAAAAAATCAGCTTAGCCTTCCAGATATTTTCAATAGCTGCACTTGTTAGTATGCCATCTTTTTTTTTTTTAAAACTGCCTGTCTTTTTTTCTCCTTACAACTTCCTAAGTTAAGCCTCAAGTGAGAATCTCAGCAAATTGACTTTTAGTAATATTTTAATTATTGAGATTATTACGGTGTGGTCCAGTGTGGTGAATCCTATAGTCGTTTTACTCGTGTATTCTAATGTCAACAGGATTGTGCTAGTTTAGATGCCCTGTTTGCGTCTAATCATTTTATGTCGAAAATAGATGGGGGAGAGGTCAAGGACGTAGTCTGTGAAAACAATGTGAACCGGGACCTCTGATCTTCATTCCTGTTCCCTTTTTCTCCCAACTTATTTGTTCCTATCCCTTTCTTTAGTAAAAAAAAAAAAAAAAAAAAAAAATACTAATTTTTTTTCTCAAAATGTTATTTTGTTTCTGCATCTCCCCTTTTCTGTACTACCTCACGCTTCCGGCACATACTTAGAGAATTTGGACTAGAAAGGGCCATAGAGATATGGTTACTCATAATGACTTGCCTGCCTCCTTGTAGTGGTTATTTTTTTGTTTTTCTTTAAATGGGTTGTATGTGCACTCTGGGTGTTGTGGGGCGGGGAGTGCTAAGTGTGACAGTGCTTACAAAACACACCTTCACAGCTGGGAGGAGGAGAACACAGTGTCATTCATGCATCCTCAGAACATTACCACTGCGGAGGACTGGCAGTGTCCTTCGGGGACCCCGTTGCCCGTGTGCATGCTCAGGGGCACCATAAACACTTGCTGCTGGTTCCCCATGCCACCTGCTGGTTCCACATGCCACCTGTGGCCTGTCAGGTGCTCAGAGGGCCTTCTGGGGCAGGCAGTATTTATGATAAATAGTTTCATCAGGATGTGTGGCTCAGCTGGGCAGCTCCAGCTTTCTTGCTCCCTCTGGGTTTCCTGACAAACTGGCCTCCTGCTAAGGGCAGGGAACTGAATGGCACTGAGAAGAGTTAATGAGCCACAGAAAATGTGGCGTTCTAAGAAGAGAACAGTATTTGTGTCCCGAACTCTTTGTCCGTGAAGTGTTCAGAGAGAAGTCCAGTGTAATGGGCTTAAAAACATCCTGCTTGCACTGATCTCTTTTAAATGGTGAAAGAAAATGCAACATTTAAAAATCATTAAACTACATTGTCTGGACATTATTTGGGCTTGGGTTTCAGATACTTCTGGGACATGCGTGAGATGAGTGACACTGCTGCAGAAGTCATGGCGAGCAGAAGACATTTGTATTATTGGAACCTGGCCTGGCTTGAACATGGAGTGTCGGTTCTAATTTGGTTCTGCTGGACTGTAGCAGCTCCTGCTGCTGGTGGGGAGCCAGTCATCTTGGATTCATAGCTACGTGCAGACACTTTCTGTGCATTCTTACTCTTTAATATTGGGTTGAGCACTTAGCTCTGTAGGGCCTGTTTCCGTGATCTCCCATCAGTCCCTGCCTTTCCATTCCAACATCACCACTCTGTCTCCAGATGATCGTGCAGCCTCCTGTCTTCTCTCTGTCACCAATCCCTTCCACCCTGCATTGCCAGACAGATCTTAAGGCCTGTCTGATGGGGTTGTGCCTCTTCTCACAATACCCAGGGGCTGCCCTTCCCTGCCTTGCATGCAGAGCTCTGCAGATTATGCTTGAGCACAGGCCCTCTCCTCCCCTACCATTCACTCACTCGCCCACTGGGCCTCTTGTTTGCCTGCCTCCCTGCTTTCCTCCTGAATCCTCCTCCATAAAGCTTCCACTGTGAGGAAAGGAGTGATAATAATAAAACTCCGAACCCTGAGAAAACCTCGCCTATTTTCCAAGACCAGTTCTATTTTTAGCAGCTAGATCAAGATGCATGAAAGCTGACAGATCTAATGTTGCCTTCTTGAAAGCATGGGGACACTTCTTCGCTGTGGGAAGGGCCAGGTCTGGGAGGGGTAAGGATTGTGAGCTCAATCTCTATAGTCTTTGGTTTCTAGGTTTTCTTAGAAAGATAACCTTTCTTGAAAAGGTTAGCTTTTTAGTTCTTTCTTGGAAGAAAAGTTGTATTGGAGCCAGACAGTGATACAGATGCTATCTTGAAAACATCTTTTACTGCATTTCACTTGAAATGCTTCCTTACATGTTAAATATTGAAAACAACTAAAACATAGAGTTCTCTTTTGATTATCCACCTATGTATTATTTATGGAAAATATTTTAAATCTGGCAGTATCCTTAGCCTATATTCCTTTGAGTTTGCCTCTCTTGCTCGTCTGGCTTACATAAACTGTACCAACAACCTAAACAGCCCATGTTTATAAAACTCAGCCTGATGCCTGCCCGATCAAGTATTGCATTGGATTTATTCATTTACAGTATGTTGAACACCTAAGTGCCAGGCACCACAATGTGCTAAGGTTTCATAACAGATACGGTGACTGCCTCCATGGAACTCCAATTTGAGAGGGAGACAGATGTTAATCAGATTATCACACAAAGATACAATTACAAGCTAGTTTAAAATGTATGCACAGGGGACCCGATTTGACTGGTGGTAAAGCTGGTCAAGGAAGGCTTCACTGAAGATGAAACGTTTGAGCTTCATATAAAATACCTTCACATTGCCCACTATGTAGGATTAACCATACAATCTAATGATCTTAACTGCTTCCTAGACTTTGGCAGGTTTTTGTTTTTTTGTGTGTGTATGTATTGTTAATACTTTTTTTTTTTTTTTTTTGGAGACAGGGTCTCTGTGGCCCAGGCTGGAGTGCGGTGGAGCAATGTTGGCTCACTGCAACCTCCAACCTCCACCTACCAGGCTGAAGCAATCCTCCCACCTCAGCCTCCCAAGTGGCTGGGGCTACAGGTGTGCAATGCCACGCTGGCTAATTAGGTATTTTACAGTCTTGTCATGAGCCCCAAAATGCCTAATTAGCTGGGCATGGTGTTAGCCATGTTGTCTAGGCTGGTCTTGAATTCCTGGGCTCAAGCAATCTGCTCATCTCGGCCTCCCAAAGTGTGGGGATTACAGCCATGAGCCACCATTCTAGGCTGTTGTTCTTAATACTTTCTTTTGCTAAATTGTGTCTGTAGAACATTTAGGGAAGTCTGAGAAGACAACCAGTAGAGATCATTACCTTTTTTCAAAGACATTGCCAAAGTTAGTTCAGATAATTCATTTTTTTAGTTACTATGATTAAACCTTGCTTGATGCAGACACCTGAGATTGAAGCTTCTTTATGCTGTTACTGACCTGTAGGTTGTTTGGGCTCAGATGCTGATGCTTGTTTCCTTAGATGATCATTGTTGCACGGTCCTTGGGTGATGTCCTGTGGGTTATCAGATGAACTTTTGTCCTGTTCAGAACCAAGCAGTTCCGTATTGAAAAATGAAAAGCTAACTGCAATTAGGTAAACTATACCTTTCTTTACATCCTTCAATAGTTTTGTGTTTAGTTGGCACTTCTGCCGATCCTTAACACATTTCTCTGACGGTAACCTTGTATGATGGTATCCTTTACAACGAAAGGTCTTTTTTGTTCATTATCTTGTTTGATCCAAGCAGTAACTCTGCAAGTAGATGGCCCCATTATTATGGTGGAATGTACAGGATGATACCATATCCTGGGAAGAGGAAGGAAGTGGATTCAGGCACTGGAACCAGTAAATCATGTAGTAGAGGGCTTCTCAGGTCAAAATGTTATTTTCCTACAATATCACACAACTGGTCCATACTAACTTTTCAGAGCTTCTTGTCCTTAGAGTGAAATGTCATGTTATTCTATTTAACTTCCATTTTGATTACAGCCTGAGTTTTTTTTTTAAATGTTTTCTTCTTTAATCTTGTAGTATTGGTTCATTACTTTAAAATTTATTTTCTGGAAAACCAAGGTTATAGCAAAGTAAGTTGTACTCACAGGGTAAAGGAGACCTGCAGAAGAATCCAATTCATCTATGCCTTTGAATTATCAACCATAAACACTGTAATTATGTGACACATTCTCTGGACATTTGTTTTATTATTATTACAGTCAGTTTCCCAACAAAATGTCACATAACAGCATTCTTTTGTTCCTTGGATCAACTGTTAATTAGTTTTCCCTCAATAGACCATATCTTCAGTGAAGTAGACAGAATACTCTGATCTCTCTCAGTATTTTCTAGTGCATGAATCCTCTGCTTCCTCTTGCCATTGGTCCTTTCACCTGAGAGGCATAGCTAAGGAATCAAAATGCATTCAAACACAGTCATAATCAGTTTCAAGTATGTGTTGTGGATGGATTAGGGGGAAATACTTTTTCTCTTTAACTCTTCCATTTTTAGGCTAAAAGAATTTTTTGCATCAACAAATTTGTTATTCTTGTTCCAAGAAACACACATTTTTTAAAAAAAAAGACTATTTGGGCATTCGTAGGCATACTCTGATATTTCTTTTTTTTTTTTTTTTTTTTGAGACAGAGTCTTGCTCTGTTGCCCAGGCTGGAGTGCAGTGGCGTGATCTCCACTCACTGCAAGCTCCGCCTTCCGGGTTCACACCATTCTCCTGCCTCAGCCTCCCGAGTAGCTGGGACTACAGGCGCCCACCACCATGCCCGGCTAATTTTTTGTATTTTTAGTAGAGATGGGGTTTCACCATGTTAGCCAGGACGGTCTCAATCTCCTGACCTCGTGATCCACCCGCCTCGGCCTCCCAAAGTGCTGGGATTACAGGTGTGAGCCACCGCACCCGGCCTGATATTTCTTGAATGTACTTTTGTCAGTTCTGTTTATCGTTTTTATTAATGATATTATTACCAATAATAAAACTATATTTGCTAATTTTGGAAAATACCCCATTTTGATACTATCTAAACATAGCCAAAATGAATTTTGATGTATAATTTCCAGTATCTTTAGTAAGCAACACATAATTCAACTTACAGCCTCAAGCTGTGACAAGTGAGATGTTGTTCATAAAAGAGTAAAAAGCCTGGCATATAGGAAGTGCAGAATAAATGCTCTACGATTATTACTACAAAGCTGATGCCTGTTTGTATAGTGGTAATTACAGGATACACAGCCGTGTCTTTTATTCCATTATCTTTCCTTCACCAAAGCTTTGATCTTTCATCTTGCCCTTATTGTATCATCCCATAGTTACTGTGGTCTCACGAGGAAGAGGCGGTTGATATTTATGGCAATGGTTCCTAGACTTGGAGGAACATATGTAAGGTGCTAAGATTTTATTTTGGCAAGGATATTTTTAAAAAATCTATCATCAGTTTTCATCATAATTTTTTAAAGAAGAAAACAACTGTGTATGTGTGTTTGTGTGTGTGTGTGTGTGTGTGTGTGTGTGTGTTAATAGGACCGTCTTTTAACTTAATGTCAATTTATGAAGAATTGACCTTGTCTTTATCTCATTTCATAGTGGCCTACAGGACACTCTGGTGGACGTGTAGTCTGTGGATTGGCACTGACTGATGTGAAACATGAAGGTCAAATGAAAGTCACGACAGGAGAGTTAAGATTGTTAAGGGAAGAAAAAGACTTTCTTTTCTAGTGGTTTTTTTCTTTGGAGTCTTGCTCTGTCACCAAGGCTCAAGTGCAGTGGTACAATCTTGGCTCACTGCGACATCCGCCTCCTGGGTTCAAGTGATGCTCCTGCCTCAGCCTCCTGAGTAGCTGGGATTACAGGCGGCCGCCACCAATCCCAGCTACTTATTGTATTTTTAGTACAGATGGGGTTTCACTATGTTGGCCAGACTGGTCTTGAACTCCTGACCTCAGATGATCCACCTGCCTCGGCCCCCTGGAGTGCTGGGATTACAGGCTTGCGCCACCGCACCCGGCTTCTAGTGTATTCTTTTAGAGAAAGTTTTGAGCTGTTGTAGATTTTGAAAATTGATTGAATTACAGATGTTACTGTAATGCTCATAACCTGTGTTTCATGTGTTAATGTATTATTCTTGCAAATTTCAGTTGTCCAGAATAACTGGAAAACAAGTTGATGGGACAGATATTAACTGATACTTCACATGTATTTTCTCCTGGTGTACTTCACTAGGTGAAAGACAAATACACATTAACACAAAGCAGATAGGTAGACTATACCTTTGTAGAATGCCTTTACAAGTCCACATTGATACCCATTATTCTGTATCTAGTACTACAGTTTCCTCATAATCTGCATTTCATGAACAGGATCAGATTCCTGTGTTTCTGAGTCAGAAAAACTGAGAGAAAGAATAATAAAGGGAACTATTTGGCTGACCGAGTATCATTTTCCTGGGAATAGTTTTAATGTGGAGACACAGGTGCCATAGGCACTCTCAGGTGCATTTCTCCTTTCAGAATCTTTCCTCATCCCTGTGCCCTCATGCTTCATACACTTATGAGTGACTGGGATAGATGTTCTTGGCTTAGATGGTTTTTAAGATTCGTTCTAAACCTGATATTCTGTGCAGTGGTTTCTGAAGTGGAAAGACATTCTTTGCTAAATGTGGCCTAATTTTGATCCCGATTGCTCTCCCAAACTCTTGATAGCGTCTGGAAGGCACGGCAGACTATTCTGTAGGCCCAGTGCAAGTGCTGTGGCCGCCATCTTGAAAGCTCTTACATGTGAGTCTTTTCTTCTTTTCCCTCTCCCCATCTGGAGTATCCCCCATCTAGCCATTTCTAAAGGTTCCTTTTCAGTCCCAACTGCTGTATTATTTAAATCCCATCTACAGCACTCACTACAAGCAATGCTTAAATCTGCTTTTGTATTTGAAAACAAAGCTTTAAAAGCAGATAGGGGAGCCACAGAGAAGAGTAGTGATTTTGTGACAATGGCCTAAATCCAAGAAGTGCATTTAGAAAGTGCATTTGTTTGTTTTAAACAATTGGTTTCAGCATGTTTGTCCATTGAAAATGGGAATGCTGAGCCCATGTATAGATAAACCCTCTGATGGAAACTGGAGATTTTTGTTATAGGTAGAAGTGTGTGTGCAATATGGGACCCTATATTCCACAATTCTATAAAGCTCTTTAAAATGTATTCATAATCATTCTAATAATTCATTCTGCATATAGAATATGCCCTCTCACACTCAGTCATATTTGTGGGGTTATTCCTTAAATGAGGCTTTGTTGTTTCTGCAGGAAATGAGTGGTTCGATGTTTTTATAAATCACGTCTGCCTTTTCTAAGATGCATAGCTAGGAATAGGTGCCTAATAGCTTGCTCTGTAGTTGATAATCAATCAGGTAATAATTTATTACACTTGCATGAGCTTTTCAACACTGATAGTTTCACTGTAAGATAAAGAGAATTGTAAGATGCAATTATAAGCATACTTTCCATAAAATGCACTAAGGTAGAGAGCAAGAAAGATGGATGTGGTTGGATCTTAGAGGAATTCTTGTGCAGAAAGGGAAGGTATTTGAATCGTATAAGAAGGGAGTCAAGGATTATAAATTTTAAGAGTAGAATGAAATGTTTACAAAGCATATTGATTTATTTCTTGGTAGAAATGAGCCTTGTGAAACATTTAAGATGAAGCAGGATCAGAGGATGCATTTTCATGAAGATAGTAGACCACTTATCTTAGGTGAAGAAGATACTAAGAGCCAGTGTTAGAAGCAAATCTGATTGATCAGGCATTCTAATCAAAGTCTGAAAATGTGTCCATTAGCAATAACTCTGAAAACTTATGCCAGAAAAAGAAGTCATAGTACTGGGGGAAGTCTGTGCAGGGAAGGGCAAGGCCCACAGGAGGAAAATCCCACGCCATGTTCAACCTTCTAACCACATGCTTCTGGGGGAGGGGTGAGTAAGAACCGCTGCGTGAAGTGTCCAGTCACCTGCTCTCAAATGAATTCCAGGTTGGTAGGTTGGAGGGGAGGCTGTGCTGGGGCAATTAGTGAGCAGCCGTGCCTGGAGGCCCTGGTACCATCTGTGTAACAGAGAAACAGTTTGCCCTGATGAAAAATCAACCTCCAGAGGCAGCAGATACAACCCCTGAAAGAACAAAAAGTCCCAGACCCGACTTCCATGAGATGCAACAGAAGCTAATGAGCCAGTGTGGGTCATACGAGGTGCGCCTGCCTGTGAGAGCGATGCCTGGGCCTCTAGAGGGGTAGGGGATGTGTGGGGTGGGGGGTGGTCCAGCCCAACTAACACATGCTTTTGCTCTACTAGCATGACCCGTGCCAGAGGAAACAGTGATTTTAAGAATGCCTTGAAATACAGCCAGGTAAACACCTGGAGGAGATTTTCATTTTGCTAAATATTAATCTATAGAGAAAACAGGAGAAAAAGGAAAACAAGTTCATAGCCTGATATAAACAACTACTCACCATGGAACTCTCACAAAGGAGCCTCAGCCACGGCCTTGTGGGGGAGGATAGCATTTGAATAAGTGTTGATCCAAAGAGAATGTTTGGCCTTTATGGATACAAACACTGATTATACGCTCAAAGCCATTGACGTAGTATGTTTTCTCTTTTTTTCCCCCCGATGAAGTACTTGAAGCTGGCTTTTTAAGCATAAGGATGTAACGTGGGGATGGTGATTGTCAGATTATGACTTCGGGAATACAGGAGTCACAAAATGTTTTTGGTTAACAGCCTGTTTCTCCATACCCCAGCATCATCCCTTTAACCCATATTGCCAGAAAAAGATGCATTTTAAGATACTGCATCCAACAAGATTCTGACATTTGCTAGCGGTCTACCACAAAGAACAATTATATTTAGCAAGAGAAGTTCTACTTTCTACTGTTAGCAAGACATGTTAAATGGAAGCTTTTTCTTCTTCCTCTTAATTTTTTTTTAGTCTAGCTTTTAGATTGCCTGAAAAGAAAAAAGAGGCTAAGCAAAATGGAAATACTTTACGCCCAACCAAATGGGAATAGATTATCTGAAGAGGAAAAAAAAAAAAAAACGGAATCTAATGTTAAAACCTGCCCTTCTGGATCCAGTGGAGGATCTGGCATGTTCCAGTCGAGTTGTAGTATTTATTGCAAACAAGTAGGCATAAAATACTAAACCAGTTTAGCTTGAGCTCAGCCATGCGGTAACATTGTTAAGTACTGTCTGTGAATTATTCTCCTGTAGTCTGACTGTATATAGCTGTCACTGCCCTGGTGTGTGCTTCTAATGGAAAAGGCTGATTTTAAGGAGTTACACTATATTTGCATCCCACTTCACTTCTGGCTTTAAGAGTTTTATCTTAACTTACTGTGTTAAAGTATAAAGTATTATTTTTCAACAACCTATAAAAGCAAATTAGGTGAGGTACTGTTGGTTTTTTTTGTTGGTTTTTTTTTTTTTTTTTTTTTTTGTGATGGAGTCTTGTTCTGTCACCCAGGCTGGAGTGCGGTGGTGCGATCTCGACTCGCTGCAACCTCCACCTCCCAGGTTCAAGCGATTCTCCTGTCTCAGCCTCCCGAGTAGCTGGGATTACAGGCATGCACCACCACACCTGGCTAATTTTTGTATTTTTAGTAAAAGAAGGGGTTTCACCGTGTTGGCCAGACTGGTCTCAAACTGCTGACCTCAGGCGATCCACCCCCCTCAGCCTCCCAAAGTGCTGGGATTACAGACATGACCCACCGCGCCCGGGCTTTTTTGTTTTGTTTTGTTTTGTTTTGTTTAGAGTTAGTATGTCACTTTGTTGCCCATGCTGGAGTGCAGTGGCACAATCATAGCTGACTGCCACCTGGAGTTCCTGGCCTCAAGTGATCCTTCTGCCTCAGTCTCCTGAGTAGATGGGATAACAAGCATTTATCACCATGTCCGGCTAATTTTTAATTTTTTTGTTGAGACGGGGGGTTTCGCCATCTTGCGTAGGCTGGTCTCAAACTCCTGGGCTCAAGCAATGCTTCTTCCTTGGCCGCACAAAGTGCCAGGGTTGCAGCCGTGAGCCATTGCGTCTGTCCTTCTATTTTATGTATGAGTCAAGGAACAGACATGGTTAACAAACTGCTACTTCAGCGCCCTCCACTAGTAAACAGAACCATCACTAGAACGCAGGCTCTCTGACTCATTTCACCATGGCTCATCACATGATGCCATTTTAATCAGTCAGCTGAAATACACATTCTATTCCTTAATCCCTGGCTTTTTGACTTGATTTGACTAGACTTGCATGTCTGTTTTAGGGTGGAAAACCTGTGCTTGAGTATATTTGTCTTTATACTGTACCTGATCATTTGGCCTGGTAATTTGGGAGGGTTTGAGCCATTTTACTAAGGTGGGGAGCAAATTTAAGACCGTTTACCAAACAGTTTCTCAGGGAAAATGGGCCCTTTTCTCACCATGAGGAAAGTGTTTTGTTTACCTAGCACGGTCTTTTTAAGGCTAAGGCTGATTGAAGGAGAATTCTGGTGAGATGGTGAAAACATATCCCATGTGACTGCTCTTGTTTCTGTGCCTCAAAGATATAAACCTTGAAGGAGAAGGCTTGGAGTCCAAGGAAAGAGTTGTGCTATTGCAATAAGCCCATAGCCTTGCAGACTCCGAGATAGCAGCCATCAGGACAGAGTATGGAAAATGCAGTGATTTGTATCAGCCAGAGGGAAGCGCAGCCTCAGGCACTGGAAGAGTGAAGGGTAGTGCTTTCACTTAAGGAAACTTAGCTGGTGAAGGACTCCCCCAAACTAATTTTGTTGAATATCTGAAATCCCTGGAATAGTGCACCTGAAGGAGGGAATAGAGCCTTTGCATTTAAATTGCTGGAGTTTATCTGATTAGGATAGGTTTCAACTTTCACACGCTTAAGCTTAGCACAGAATAGATGCTCAAAAGCCGTTGAATTGGTCATAGTTCTTTTTCTTGGATTCTTTTTATTTAAAAGTGTATCAGAAACACATCTTTGAAATCAGAGGCTTGTGCTCAAAATGCAAGAGGAAGAGAAGTCTAGTAAGAGAGTTGGTGCTGTTGACTTCCTTGTGAATGGAGATTACAGTATTTGAAGAGTTGAAGTCTAGTTTGTCCCACCAAGTCACTGAACAGCCCCATGATCTCAGAGGTACCAGCAGCAGTTTTACTGCATTCTCATACCTGAAAGAACATGGAATACACTTTGCCATTCAATACAGCCCCTAGGAAATGGGTGAACCCCACTCAAAACTTCCTGGATAGGACAGCTCTGCGTGCACCGTTCCCGGCATAGTCAGTGGTGCCTTCAGGATTCAGGGGCATTTTGTACTTCTGAAGAGTAAGGTACAAGTATGCCAGATTCTCTCATTAGAATGAAATCATTAATTACAGGAAAAGTGTAATTAGGGTATGTGAAATATTTTATATGGTGGAGTTTCTTGATGTTAAAGATGTTCCTGCATTGCCTACCCTCAATGCTCCTGTCTTTAAAACTCTCCTTGGCTGCTCTTAGAAGTACAGTGTCATCAGCCTTTGATGTGCTTGGAGATAGAATACAGGTGCACCTTGTTTAATTGCACTTCACTGGAATGTGCTTTTCAGATACTGCCTTTTTTTTCCTTTTTAACAAATTGAAGGTTTATGGTGACCCTGTGTCTGTCTGAAATTGTCGGTGCCATTTCCCGATAGCATTTTCCCAATAACATGTGCTCAGTTTGCATCTCTGTTTCACACTTTGGTAATTTTCACAATGTTTCAAACTTTATTATAACTGTTACAGTGATCTGTGATCCATGATCTTTGGTGTTACTATTGTAATTGTTTCAGGGTGTCAGGAACAGTTCCCATAGAAGACAGTGAGCTTAATAAAAGTTGTGTGTGAAGTGCTGCCATTCTCTGTCTTTCTCCCTCCACTTGGGCTTTTCTATACCCCAAATTTCAATTTCCTAATTGAAATCAGGTCAATTAATAACCCTGCAATGGCCTTTAACTGTTCAAATGAAAGACTAAAGAATCAAAAGCTTGAAATTATTAATTAAAGCTCAGTGAGAAAGGCACGTCAAAAGCTGAGAAACGCTGAAAGCTGGGTCTGTTGGACCAAGCATTCTATCCAAGTGGTAAATGCAAAGGAAAAGTTCTTGAAGGAGATTGAAAGTGCTGTTCCCATGAACATACAAGTGATAAAGTGAAATAGACTTATTGCCTATATGGAGAAAATTGAAGTGGTCTGGATAGAAAATCAAATGAGCCACAACAGTTCCTTAAGCCAAAGCTTAATCCAGAGCAAGTCCATAACTCTTCAATTCTTTGAAGGATGAGAGAGGTGAGGAAGCTGCAGAAGAGCAGTTTGAAGCTAGCAGAGGTTGGGTGATGAGGGTGAAGGAAAGAAGCCATCTCCATAGCATAGAAGTACAAGGTGAAGCAGCAAGTGCTAATGAAGAAGCTGCAGCAAGTTATCCAGAAGACCTAGCAAGATCATTGATGAAGGTGGCAACACTGAACAACAGGTTTTTCAAGGTAAATGAAACAGCCTGCTATTGGAAGATGCCATCTAGAAGTTTCGTAGCCAAAGAGGAGAAGTCAATGTCTGGCTTCAGAGGACAGATTGATTATCTTATAAGGGGCTAATACAACTGGTGACTTTCAGTTAAGCCATTACTCATTTACTACTCCAAAAATCCTTGGGCCCTTAAGAATTTTACTAAACGTACTCTTCCAGTGCTCTGTAAATGGAACAACAAAGCCTGGATGACAGCACATCTGTTTACAGCATGGTTTACTGAATTTTTTATTTGTTTGTTTTAATTGAGGCAGAGTCTCGCTCTGTCACCTAGGCTGGAGTGCAGTGGCATGATCTCAGCTCACTGTAACCTTTGCGGCCTGGGCTCAAACAATTCTCCTGCCTCAGCCTCCTGAGTAGCTAGAACTATAGGCACCTGCCACCACGCCCAGGTAATTTTGTATTTTTAGTAGCGACGGGGTTTCACCATGTTGGCCAGGCTGGTCTTGAACTCCTGACCTCAGGTGATCTGCCCTCCTCGGCCTCCCAAAGTGCTGGGATTACAGGCGTGAGCCTGGCCAGTTTACCGAATTTTTTATGCCTACGGTTGAGACCTACTGCTCAGGGGGGGAAAAAAAAATTCCTTTCCAGATATTAGTGCTCATTGGCAATGTACCTTGTCATCCAAGAGCTTTCGTGGAGATGTACAAAGAGATTAATGTTGTTTTCATGCCTGCTAATGCAGCATTCATTCTGCAGCCCATGGAGAGGAAGTAAGTTCCACATTGAGGTCTTATTTAAGAAACATATTTTGTAAGGCTATGGCTGCTATAGATTGTGATTCCTCTAATGGATCTGTGCAAAGTAAATTGAAAACCTTCTGGAAAGGATTTACCATATTAGAGGTCATTAAGAACATTCATGATTCGTGGGAGAAGGTCATAGTATCAATATTAACAGGAATTTGGAAGAAGTGGATTTCAGTCCTCATGGATAACTGAGGGTTTCAAGACTTCATTGGAGGAAGTCCCTGTATGGTGGAGATAGCAAAGAATTCGAATTAGAGGTGGAGCGTGGAGATGGGACTGAATTGCTGCAGTGTCATGATCAAACTTGAACAGATGAGCAGTTGCTTCTTACGGATGAGCAAAGAAATCGGTTTCTGGAGATGGACACCTGGTGAAGATGTTGTGTACATTGTTGAAATGACAAAGGATTCATAATATTCCATAAACTTTGTTAATAAAGTAGTGGCAGGGTTTGTGAGGATTGACTCCAATTTTAAAAGAAGTTCTAACATGGGCAACGTGCTATCAAACAGCATGGGATGCTTCAGAAAAATTTTCCCTGAGTCAGTCAAAGCAGCAAACTTCATGGTTGTCCTGTTTTAAGAGATTGCCACATCCTTCAGCAGCACCCCCCCCGCCATCAGTCAGTAGCCATCAGCATCGAGGCAGGACCCTCCACCAGCAAAACGATTGCAAGCAGCGGAAGACTCAAACGATAGTTAGCAATTTTTAGCAATGCTGTATTTTAACATTAAGATACGTACTTTTTAAAAGACATAATGCTATGGCACACTTAATAGGTTTGCTGCAGTATAGTGTAAACATGATTTCTGTATGCACTGGGAAACCAAAAAATTCATGTGACTTGCTTCATTGAAATACTAGCTTTATTTTGATGGTCTGGAACCAAACCTGCTGTATCCTCAAGGTATGTCAGTATTTAGGAACATGGCACATACAGAAGGGGGCTACCTATGAAATATTTATTCCCCATTTGATATCTGAAGTGATTTGAAATCATTGAAAGATGTTGACTTAAGATGGTCAGGCGACTACTACCAAACATTCATGACTTATCTATAAAATCTCCACATGGGAACATATACATGTCAATATTGAAACTAGAGAATTTTAATTACCAATTTTTATTTGAAAGCATTGCTGTGTGCTAAGCGCTGTGCATAGCATTTCTTATTTCAGAGTAATTTGGGGTCACATTTTAAGTTAAAGCATCATAAATAAAAGGTTTATTCATACTCAATAAAATGCCTTAGAATATAGTTACAGATTTTAAATGTGAAATCTAAATATCATATCCTTTTGAAGTGTTACACAAATGTGGCAGCTGTCTTTAAATAAACCCTTTTTTTGCTTGTATTCTTAACGTAGATAAGACATCGTGTAAAAATGTTTGGGTTTAAGAACTCAGTATTGTATTGATAGATTGGTGGTTTTCATTTTGATCCACACATTAAAATCACCTAAATAATTCTTTAGAGACACTTGTGCCTAGGCCTGTCTCTGCCCTATTAAGTTGGACTCTCTAAAAGGTGACAATGAGCATCTTTGGCTTTTGCTTCCAGAGGGGAGTGGATTGATGCCTTTTGCGTTCTGCATGGATAATCTGATGTTTTGTAGCTCCTGGAGTGTGCTGTTTATCGGTGGAGTTGCATTCACTCAGTTGAACTACAGGAAACTAATTCCTGAGTGCCTTCAGCAGATACTTTAAGGGTCTGCTGCGTGTCAGGCATGATTCCCAGCATCTGCTTGGGAGAGACTTGATCCCCTCCTTCTGGAGTTTATGCTTGTTGTTTCGGGCAAAAGATTGAGTCTTCTCGAAGTCTAAATGCACAATTAACAGAATCATCTCATTTCACTGACAGATTTAACCTGATTCTTAGATCTGGGCTAGGTTTTCCAAATCATTTCACAGTGCTTGATGCTTTTTCTGATTTGTGGATTTGGTTTCTCTTTAACTACGTTCCACATTTAGATTAATTGACTGTTTTCAGCAGGCCAGTCCCACCAGCACTCCCTTCAGAGTGGTCTGTGGTTATTACAACCAAGGAATTATTTTTGTTTGTTTGCCTATTATGATGAAAGAAACAATACATTGCTTTTCTTTTTTCTGGAACAGTAACCTTCAAGTTTAAAATCAAACAGCATTTCTTGTTAAGGGAGAAAAAGTGTTTAACACTGTGGAAGAAGTAATAGCTAAGCAAGTGGTATCAGTTAAACCATAGTGAACCCATCATTTAAGAGTGAAAGATTTAAAATTATTCAGGTATTTTGACCTGTTCTGCTTCAAATAGAGTATATAAATGTCTCAATCCCCTTTTGCTTCCTCATACCAATCTCTTCCCCACCCCCCAAATATGATTTAAAATCTTGATATATAGAGCAGGAGCACCAGGAATAAAAGGCACATTCAATTAGGGGAGACTCTTTACTGACCTAAATAACAGTTCATTCATGAGATAATGTGACCTGCAGTCAGAGAGAAAAATCTGTTGCTTGAGCTGGGATAAACCTGGCATAGTACAAACCCTCCGGTAGTCAGGGAATCATCTAACATTAGACCAGGTAGAAAAATACTGCAAAAGCTTTGCAGGCCCAGTCTCCATTTCAGGAATGTTTCTTTCTCAAGATGTATGTGTCATTTGTCACCTAGACTATCCCTGGTAATCCTGTAATGCACATCTCTATCAGTGTGAAGTGCTTGCTATCGAAGTGAAGTTCCCTGCTATCAAAGCAATCAAGCAGTTCAAGCAGTTAAGCAATTTATGTATCTTAAGGGTGAGTTTCCTTTCATAACTTAAGGAGCTCACCTTCTGTTAAACAAGGTCTCCTCTTTGGAGAGGTGGTCAGTGTATCTTGGGATTTTCTGGTGGCCACGAGTTTGATGATTGCCGTGATCAAAACATCAATATCTGTCCTAGAAATTATTGTATGGTGTTGTGTATGCAAGTATTTGTCTTACAGTGATGCATTTTCAAAAATGTGAGATTATCATCTTGTTTCCTCAGGTTTCTTTCAGTAGATCTGACGGTAAATTCTTGAACTGCTAAAGGGAAATTCCTTACTACCGAAATGAGCTCAGATTCTTTTGGGAAAGAGAAGCGTAGAAATAAATGCGGTACACTAAGTAGTTTGCTATCCAGTGAACCATCTAGTGTGATGGTTAGAGGTTTCTTGGATCATTGGAATCATAAGGAGCTCCAGTCGTTGTTTGTGATTTATCCATGTCAAAATGAGGGGGGGATCCCACAAGGATGTGGTTTTCCTCTTTGAACCAATAGGGAAAAACTTAAATCTAAAATATGAAGTTCAGATTTTATTCCTTCAAAACATGTTTATGGAGCATCAGTGAACAAGACAGACAAACCCCACCCCCCGCCATTGCTGAGTGTGCACTCTAGTGAGGAATGCAGATGCTATAAATAAAACAACTTACTTAGAAGGTACTATGGTCAGGGTGAGGGGTAGGAATAGAGCAGGGCAAGGAGAACTAGGAGCTCCAGATTTGGAGGGCCCGGGGAGGGTTGCAGTTTTAAATAGGGTATCAGGGTAGGCTTTCTCCGGAAGGAGCAATTGAAAGAAAACCAGGAAGCCACTGAGGGATTAGGCCACGTGCTTATGCAGGGTAGAGTAGTCCAGGCAGAAAGCAGTTATACTGGAAGTGCCCCATACAGCAGGAATGCACCTGGCATGTTGGAGGAACCCAAAGGCCATTGTGGCTGCTGAGAGGGCGTAGGGAGGAGGAAAAAAGGAGATCAGGCCACCGGAAGTGGGGTCCCAGCCACACAGGGCCTTGTCAGCAGTTAGGTTTTCCATGGCACCGGGAGTAAAGCTTTAAAGGGATTTGAGCAGAAGAATGAGCTGGCTTCATTGTGTGCCTTGACATTCATCAGTTGTTTGATAACTACTATTTTTTTTTCTTAAATTTCATCTCTTTTCTGGAACCACACCTTTTTTTTCCTTCTCTGAAAATTGTAACAGCAATAGCTCATACTTGCTATGGTGGGTGTGCTGCCAATCACTGTACGTTGATTAACCCTGTGACCCTTCACAACAACTTCAAACAGTACATGTCATCACCTTCATTTTATAGGGGAGGACCCGGAGACTGGGAGAGCATAAATGATTCACCTGAGGACCTCAGGTCACTCAAGGGCAGAGTCAGTATTCCAGCTGAGGCAGTGGGCTCTTAACTCTTAACCACAGTAGTGAAACACTCATGCCCTCCCACCCTAAGATTTCCCCAGACCCCCATGAGCATCCCACTTGTCAGCCTCAGGCTCTTTAACCGTTCACATATGTAGTTGCCCAAAGGATGATACTATGTCAGCTGGGGTGTGCATGTGGGTTGGTTGCACTGTGTGGATCAAGGTGTGTCTGTCGGGGATAAGGAGGAGGAGTGGTTGCTGCTTGTTGGGGACTCATCTGTGGGACTTACCAATTACCATTTCCCAATTACAGCATGGTTTCCTAGGTGCCAGGGTGTGGGGGGAGCTAAGAGACTTGCATGTGTATATTGAAGCAAGAACCCCAGCTCCTGCTGCATCTCCTCCCTTCCCCCTGAGACCGCTGGTGTAGGTGCTGTCGGTTGTAAACAGCACAGTCAGGGTGAGACTGTGCTTGGCTCTGTAGTTACTGTCATGTGGCATGATAGAACTCTTGCCTACAGGTAGAAATTATAATGAGGGACCTGAATTCGCAACTTTGACTTCACTCTCAATTCCCTCCATCATCCAGTTATTAGTCCTTTAATGTCACTCTAGCTTTTTTATGTCTTTTAGCGACATCATCTCATGATTTTGCTGTTGGATTTGGAAAGGAGGAACCTCAGCTTGTAATAGAAATGTATGAAGTGAAATGAGTTCTAAGGAGGAAGCCATTATAACCTCTTGTAAGAGTACGTAAATGTGTACATATTTGGCAGATTAAAAACACTGGGCTTACGTTAAGTCATGATATTTTATGGCAACAAGCATTCTGATAGCCAGTGGAAATATATTTTTGAAGTGCCGGTAAAAGGCAGGTCGTCCATTGGGGAACTTTATTTCTGAATTTGCTAAGTAAAACTTGCTTGCAAATGTGTAATATCTGTAGCACACTGCTCTTATTAATCCACTGGAGCTGACTTCCTGTTGTCCAAGGAAAATGAGAACGCTTCTAAGTGCCTGTGTGGCGTATATTCTACTTTAAATAAAATTCCACACACAAGGCAAGGACAGTACAAGCCTTTTAGAAAAAAACAAAACCCATGCAAGACAAACCAAATCTAAATATTGATTTAAATTGGATCATAGCTCTTTAGACAACACCTCTTAGTGCCCACCGGTTCCCAAGCAAGAAACTCTGTGTTCTGGATAGTTGTAAAAGAAATAGAACATGCTTCCCTTGTGTGTTTCCAGTGGTTGAAGTTGAAAGAACACAGGTTAGAGTCAGATCAGGCATGAATTTAAATCTCTTTTCCTATTTATTGGTTCTGAGACCCTGGGCAAGTTATTTAACCTTCTAAATCCCACTTTCCCGTCTGTAAAGTGAAAATGGGAATATTCAGTTGGCAAGATTTTGAGAATTAAAACAGAACATTGAACATAGACCACCTGATCCCAGTAGGTACTTAGTAAATACTTCCTTCACTGTTGTCAAGGATCACACAGTAGGGGATGGGGGGAGGATGAAAATATGTTAACAATCTCTTAGGCAAAAATTCTGAAGCAATAGTGGGCACTTCTCACCCATTATGACAGTTATTTCACATAGTGTGGAGATAGAACCAAATTTAGACTCATTTTCCCAGGTCCCTGTTGAGAACCTACTGTGTGTCATGTCTGATTCCAGATGCTGAGGAAACACAGTCTCTACGCTTATTTAAAGTTTATTGAGAGAGCAGACATTGACCAAATACTCATACTAATCAGACCAATAAATGTCAAACCGCAACTGTGTTAGTGCTATGAGAGAGAAGAAAATGATATTACAAAACAGCATAATAGACAAGTTTGACCTAATCAGGGAGATCCAGAAAATCTTCCCTGAAAAGGATGGCAATGATGCCAATATCTTAAAGGTGAAGAGCTGCCTGCAACCCTCAGTATACCATCAGGGTCCCTTGGACCCCATTTTAATTTTGGAGTTTCTTTTATGAGATGCCTTAAGTGCTTTAAAGGATTGCTGTTGCATAAATTTAATCTTTCATAGAGGTCTTTGAAGGAACAAACAGAACATTATGAGAACATTATTTCTGTTTTTTTTTTTGAGACGGAGTCTTGCTCTGTCGCCCAGGCTGGAGTGCAGTGGCCCGATCTTGGCTCACTGCAAGTTCTGCTTCCTGGGTTCACGCCATTCTCCTGCCTCAGCCTCCCGAGTAGCTGGGGCTACAGGTGCCTGTCACCATGCCCAGCTAATTTTTTGTATTTTTAGTAGAGATGGGGTTTCACCGTGTTAGCCAAGATGGTCTCGATCTCCTGACCTCGTGATCCACCCGCCTCAGCTTCCCAAAGTGCTGGGATTACAGGCGTGAGCCACCGCACCCGGCCTCATTATTTCTTTTAAGGCAAAAAAACAACTCATTCTGTCTTAGCATTACCACATAGCTCTGTTGGACCTTTTGTACACCTAAGACACGTTGTGACGTCTTAGTGGTCTTTTCTGTATCTTGAAACATTTTCCTATTTCATCATCTGAGGAATTTGTTCATCCATGCTTATCAATTATTCCCAACCATACTAAAATAAATGTTAGAAAAGCAGTGAGTGATGGAATCAAATATAAGGCTGATGCAATAGTGAAGTGTTATTATATTATCCTTGAGTTTTCTTACTGCATGACCCACAGTTTTTTGTATCTTTCAAGCAGGTATAAAAGAAGTCAAGAAATGTTTTTATGTAAATTAAAAAAAATCTCTGGTTGAACAGAGTTTAGAATTGATCATTTTCTCCCATGATAGCAAAGAAAAGGATCATGATTACTACATGATTCAGAAGATAAATGCCAAAAGACAGAAGCTCTCTAGACTCTAATGATGATGGTGAAATTGATAGTGTAAGTGAAATCTCAGATTCTTCAGACGAAGATATCCCAGATGAATTTTCCTCAACTCAGGAATCATGTGAGTCAGTAATGCATTTCAATGGATGAAAAGGAAATACGGTATTCATATCCAGTTAGTCATTCAGTAGGGAGTACTTCATCATGCAACATTTTGCAGCAAAAACCTGGAGCATTCTGTTTTTGCTAGAAGGACATGTGACAAATTATTTCATCTTTTAAGATGTTTGTTTATGGAAAATGTACTTCATATGGTTTTTATAAGTGGACAAATGCAGGTGTGTATACAGAGGTGGTTAGAAGGAATATATGATGTAGAAATGAAAAGAATCATTGGCTTGTCACTCTAATTGATTGCACCAAATCCAGAAATGAAAGTGTTTCGTAATTATTAAGCCAGGAATATGGCTGTCCTTTCATCAGCAAAACTATGAGCCGTCACATGTTAAGATACTGCGTTTTGATCATGCAGCTACGAAAAGAACCAGAAGTAATGATGAGCTAGAACCTATTAGAGCTACGTTCAAACCTAGAGTTAGCATTTGTAAGGTGGATATATTCCAGCTTCATTCAGGACAGTCGAAGAGCAGTTAGTTGCATTCAAGGAAGTTACCTGTTTTGAGTATCTGAAGCTTCAAAGCTAGGAAAATTGGAGTAAAAATTTGGGTTTGCTATTTAAGTTATCACTAATGTTTCCAATAATGTTTGTACTCTTGTTTTATTCTCTAAATCATTCTTTAAATTCATTCAAAAAGTAAAAAAATAAAAGAGGTCCATTGGTGATGACCCTTTTTTCTTCGTATACAGTGGGTTTAGCAGGCAAAGGAGGAGGGAAGAGAATTTCAGGTAGAGAGAACAACACATGCAAAGGACTCAGGGTAGGAGACAGACGGTTTGCTTGAACTAAGTGAAGGCTCAGGTGGTGGGAATGCAGAGAGCACCAGCGGTGGGGCGAGGCTGGAGAGGATGCGGGCACCCATGATCCAGGGACCTGTAGACATGAGGAGGATTTCTTCCCCGATTCTAAGAACAAGGGAAGCCATCTAAGGGAATTAAGCAGAGGACGGGCATTGTCACACTTGGATTTTAAAAAGTGATGATGGCATTTGAGGTGATTTTGAACCAGGCACTTGTGCATACAGGACTGGGCCTGGTGAGAAATTTCCGGCTGGAGGTGTGGAGTTGGAGGTTCATCTGCATGTAGTTCAGGTGAACATCTTGAGTCGTGAAAATCTT